>NC_000009.12:104887218-105038733 GCF_000001405.40 Homo sapiens | reverse complement strand
TTTGAAACCCAAATTGTTAATCAAGTAAGAGGGCAGAGAAATGACATTACCAGTCATGCAAAAACACAAAACTAATTTACCTCAAAATCATCATTTCTCCGGAAGCCCCTGGAGTAAGAGCTTCACCAAAAAGAGGAATAAATTAAGAAAGAGGGAGATGTGAGACCAGGAAACATGATCCAACTCAGGAATGAACCAAAGGAAAGTCCCAGGAAAACAGCTCAGGGTAGGGGTAGGCAGAAAGAGCAAGTCCTAATTGAAAAAGGAGAATGATAAGCCCTAAAAATGAGTTTTCTAGGAAAAGAACCAGAAAATTGGATCTGGGAGATTTTATGATTATTTTTTAATGTGGAAATTAGTATTAAGAGCGGTTTTATAAATCTGTTGGGGAATTTGAGAAGAATTTACGAGCCAGTTGGAGCATTTGAGTAGTTAAAGCTTAACCTTAGAAAACCCAACATATATAAGAAAGGAATCATAATCAAAATACAGCACATGGCCCAGCGGTAAAGAATGTTTATAGTTGTAATTAAGTAAACATTGACTATTGATTTAACAAAAGATTGTAATATGAGGCTACTTGGAAGTTGGAAAACCCAGAAATTGAGTAGGGAAGTAAAATAAACCTAAATATTCACTTGCCACTCTGGAAAGTTAGTAGATAATGTCTAAAATGAATGAATCAATAAAAAACGAACTTATCATTTCAAAATATGGATGTCAATAAAGGTATAAAAGTGAAAAGTGATTGCCTCTGGGGAGCAAAATTGGACCAGTAGGAGGAAGGACAAAACGAACTGCTGTTTTTTCTTCATAAGCCTTATTTATTTAATTTTTTAAAAATTTATTTAATTATTTAAAAATTAATTAATTATATGCATATATTCTTTGAAAACTAGAAAACTAAATAAAAACAAACAACTGGTTCAACAACCAATAATCGGAAAGTAATTTAAATCTTTGCTAAAATAAAATTTAAATTTTTAACTCTTGATTTATATTAAAGGATTAAGTTTACAAGGCATGGCAGAATGTAACCTTCTCTTTCCCAATTTATCTCTCTCTAACATAGCAACTTCTCTTATCTCTTTCCTCCCTCTGTCCAAATCCCTCTCCAAATGCTCTCTTAATTCAGATCACTACTTTTTTCTCAATATATTATTTTTCCCACGAGTAAATCCCAACTCTTTCCAGTGGAAATAAAATCAAGCTAATTTTGGAAGCACCTAATTCATCTCTGCCTGTTACTCTAATTCATCACAAGAAATGCCCAAACCAGTGGGCAAAGAGAATTCTTCTTTGCCAGGGACTAGAGAGGCTAGGAGTACTTCTACACTGATATCTTTTTCCAGACATATAATGACATCACTCCCTCACTTTCCTTCTTTTTCTGCTTCTTCTCTCTCTTCTTATTCTGTGATTTCAGTGACATGTATGTTAAACTGCTGGATATTGTCCCACAGCTTTTGAATTCGTTGTTCTGTTTAATTCACTGTTTTCTTTCTCTCTATTTCCATTTGAATAATTTCTATGGACCTTTTTAAATGTCACTGATTCTTAAGTTGACAAGCCCAATCAAAGAAATTAATCATATCTGATATATATTTTATTTCTAATATTTCCATTTGACTCTTATAGTTTTTATCTCTCTGGTATCCATTATTTCCTATATCTGAGTCATCTCTAAGTCTGGTTCTATTGATTATTTTATCTCCCACTAATGAGTTGTTTGGGTTTTTTGTTGTTGTTGCTTTTTGGCCTCATAATTTTTGATTGACTGCCAGGTATCATGTGTAGAACAGTAGAGACTGAGGTAACAGTATTTATACCTGAATATATGTACACCTCTCTTCCGTCAGACCATTAGTATTGGGGGATTGAATCATCTAATCAGGACTTGAGCTGGGTTTGGGTTTTCTTGTTCTTATTATTACCATCAGTATACCCCAGACTTCAAACTTCTCTAGTGGTGGGCTGCTGTTTCCAAATGCTGACGCTTTCCTGGGGAAGTCACTGGAAAAATCACTTCACATATTATCTATATTCTTCTTTTCAGTAACTTTGTTTGAAACTTGCTCTTGTTTGCTAAGTCACTGAGGAAAAAGTATCTCTATTTGCTTTTTATCTTCCAACAGTTCTATGATCTCTGTCATCCTTTGTTTATCCTTTTCCACTGTCTTTACTCTCGTAGGGTTTTCAAAAAGTCTTTTTTATTTAATGTCATTTTATCTGGGTTTTAGGGGGGAGTAGAGATAAATATATAATTTCATTTTGTCGTATTTATATTGAATCACTGAATGCAACTCTAAGTAGGGGCTGGGTCATGCAATGACCCAGCTTTATGTAGGTTACACAGAAATTATTATTATTATTATTATTATTATTATTATTTTAAGGCAGAATCTTGCTCTGTCACCCAGGCTGGAGTGCAGTGGCACGATCTTGATTCACTGCAGCCTCTGCCTCCTAGTTTCCAGCGATTCTCCTGCCTCAGCCTTCTGGGTAGCTGGGATTACAGGCACCCACCACCACTCCCGGCTAATTTTTGTATTTTTAGTAGAGATGGGGTTTCACCATGTTGGCCAGGCTGTTCCTTAACTCCTGACCTCAGGTGATCTGCCCACCTCAGCCTCCCAAAGTCCTAGGATTACAGATGTAAGCCACAGTGCCCGGCCAGAAATTATTTACTTTTTTTAAAAAAAAATGAATGATTTTCAAACATTGGCACTTTGATAATTTTTAATAATAATGAGGCATCTGTCAATTGACCTCTACATTTAAATATAGTGGGACATTACTGTTAAGTATTTGGGAGCTAGTCAAACAACTCAGGAATTTTAGTAAAACTTTCCATCTAGTTTTTCCATATAAACATTTCTTTTTCTTTCTTTCTTTCTTTTTTTTTTCTTTTCTTGAATTAGTGAGGAAGTTTTTTCAACTCTTCACTTGGTCCGCAAACTCTTTAGTTTCTGGCTGAAAATTGATGTGTAAGTTGTTCATGGGGTGTGATTGGCCTTTTGGTCAATAACATTTGGCATCTTGTAACACTCATCTGGCAAAGGACTGAAGACAAAAGACCTAAGAGTTCTTTTGTGAAGGCCCCAAAAAGAGAGTGTAAGTCAGCATGTTTTCCTCTCTTCCTAGGGAACTGTGATTTCTCTTCTTGGTCTTGGAGTTCAAATTGTCTCACAGCACATTATTAAAGAGAAGCTAGTCAGCTATGTTTTATTTAAGATATCTTTCTGCACATCAAGAAAATCTTAATAAGTTAATCATATTTTACAATTTTATTTATTAAGATTTATTAAGGCTGGGAGCAGTGGCTCACGCCTATAATCCCAGTATCTTGGGAGGCCGAGGTGGGTTGATTGTTTGGGGCCAGGGGTTTGAGACCAGCCCAACTAACATGGCAAAACCACATCTCTACTAAATACAAAAGTTAGCTGGATGTGGTGGCACATGCCTGTAATCCCAGCTACTTGAGAGGCTGAGGCACAAGAATCATTTAAACCTGGGAGGCAGAGGTTGCAGTGAGCCAAGATCATGGCATTGCACTCCAGCCAGGGTGACAAAGCAAGACTCTGTCTCAAAAAAAAAAAAAAAAAAAAAAAAGATTTATTAAGATGCATATAAGTATGGCAAAATATAAATAAAATACTTTTCCTTATTGTGGCAAAGTATATATACATAATATTAAAATTAAGTGTTTTCTTTTTTGTTTTTTGTTTGTTCATTTGTTTTGAGACAGAGTTTCACTCTTGTTGCCCAGGCTGGAGTACAATGGCATGATCTCGGCTCACCTCAACCTTGGCCTCCTGGGTTCAAGCGATTCTCCTGCCTCAGCCTCCTGAGTAGCTGGGATTACAGGCATGTGCCACCACACCTGGCTAATTTTGTATTTTTAGTAGAAACAGGGTTTCTCCATGTTGATCAGGCTGGTCTCGAACTCCCGACTTCAGGTGATCTGCCCTCCTCAGCCTCCCAAAGTCCTGGGATTACAGGCAGGAGCCACCGCGCCTGGCCCAAAATGAAGTATTTTTTAACATGAAAAATATCTGCAGCCTCCATGGAGTTCCTTCCCTACTCTGGGCCTCTATTTCCTCAACTATAACATGAAGTTTAATGACTGAATAATTTCTAAGGTTTCATTTAGGGTTTTTTTTTTAAGCAGCTTTATTGAGCTATATAATTCATATACCATTTAATTTACCCATTTATGGTGTACAGTTCAATAGTTTTTGATACATTACTTTTTTAGCTGTGGCTATATATATATATAATGATATATATAATATACAATTTATCATTTTAACTATTTTTCAGTGTATAATTTTGTGGCATTAATTACTTCACGATGTTGTGCAACCATCGCCAGTATTTCCAAAACTTTCCCATTATTCCCCAAAAGAAACTGTGTAACTATTAAGCAACCCACTTAGCTTTTACATACTGGGAATTATTCTGTTATCGACAAAACCCTTCAAAGGTCCTCAAAACCCAACTGGAAAAAGAGTAAAATTAATTCCCAATTCCAGTGTTATCAGGTCTGTTGTGTGCTATTACACATTTACACACAATCTGAGCATTGTTCTAAGCCCCATCATGGGCATATTAATGGCTCTAAAGGAAGCCCCAGACAAAAGAGGAGGATAAAATGTAGATTTTTTTTTTTTAGTTTGGATCTCGTAATTATGAGCCTTCAGAGTCTTCCTACTCCCATCAGCAGGTTTCAGTTAATTTTTAAATATAAGCCAAATGTCTTTCAAAAAATACCCACTCCCAATTGGTGAATTTTGGAGCTTTTGAAGACTTAGTGACAGATTCTTCTCAGGAAGTGGCCTTAAAGCTGTTACAGAGACTTGCAACTGAGAAAGTTTCCACATGTCCACAGGTATTCATTCAGGGTTTACAAATTGTTCATGGCACGGGAGCCATCTATTTACTTCCTGGTCCTGAGGACTTCAGAGTTATCCTTACACATGGGAGTATCTTCTTTGAATTGTTGCTAGATTAATATCTCTATGAGATCAGAGAGATATAAAACTAGAAAGGTTGTATCTTTCTAATTTGCCTATTGACCACATAAATTGAACTGGCTTTACTTGGAGTTGCCATTTCTTTTTTTCCTGTTTTTCCTGAAGTCCTTTGGGGACACTGCTCCATTATTATCCAGAACTTGCTCCATTGGGTAGAAGGCTCAGGGAAGCAAGTTTTGGCTGCCCTGAAATTAAAGAGCTGCCTTCTTAGATAGTAAACTTTTTATCACTAGGTATTCAAACAAAAGGTAGATCATTATGTATCAGAGGTGTGGAGGAGCCTGAGAAGAATGATCAATGAAATTCATTAAAATTCTTAAATTCTGTGGCATTGTGGCAGCATTGCATAGTTGCAAAGAATTTAGATTTAATCATGCAGACATGGATTCAAAATTTGGCTCCTTTGCTTAACTTTCTACATAGCTTTAAGCAAATGTACTCTCTCTAATACTCAGTATTTTTGTCAGTAAAATGAACATAATCATAGGATTAAATAAATTAATGCAAATAAATGCTTATAACAGTGGCAGTTTAATACATACTCAATAACTGTTAAGCATTATTTTTTATAAAAATAGTAAGAGCCACAAATTTTGAAAAATGAATGAAAAGTTCTGGACTTATAATACCTAGCTCTGTTTCTCAATATCTATGACATTGGGCAAGGCCTAGAGAGGCCTTCGTTTCCTCATCATAGATGGTTTAGATGCCATATATTTCCTTAAGATTCTTAAAACGTCTTTTTTCCTTCTCCTAGTTAAAAAACTCTTGTTAGAGCTTAGGAAACACTGGAAAACTGAAAGGCAGCCTGGTCTAAGAGGCAAAGGACTGAAGCACATGTTCAACTTCTGATTTAAGTTTTGAGATATTAATTCTGTGCTGTCTTATGCAGCCTTAGACCACTCTTTGACAACTGTGTCTAGGTTGGCTCAACAAAATTAAAGATTACTACCTAAGCCTTATTTTTGCCATCAAGAAATGGTTTGGGGTGCAGTGAAATAAATTCATTAAAGCAATTTGATTTTTGCTGAAATAAAATGGCCTCTGATAAATGTAAGGTCCTGCTGTTTTTACAAGCTAGAGATTCACATGGTAACCTATAATTGACAAGGTTAAATCATCTTTTTATATCAAAGTTTTGATCTCTGAGAATACTTGAAGTTAGAGGCTA
Organism: Homo sapiens; assembly: GCF_000001405.40. NCBI lineage: Eukaryota > Metazoa > Chordata > Mammalia > Primates > Hominidae > Homo > Homo sapiens. The sequence continues at coordinate 105,032,526 of NC_000009.12, read as the reverse complement.
ATTTTTTAAATTTATCTGGAAGAGCAAAGTAGTAGGTCATCATTGATCTAATGTTGTGATTAAACATCAGTTTCCCTACCTCTGTATAAGAAATTTAGAACATATATTTTGTGTTTCTGGACTGGTTATAATTTTTACTGTTGCAAAACAGAACTTTCCAGTTCTCTTTCTGTTTTGTTGTTTTTTTTTTTTTTTTTTTTGCTTTTTTTTTCAGACAGAGTCTAGCCCTGTGGCCCAGGCTGGAGTGCAGTGGCATGATCTCAGCTCACAGCAACCTCCGCCTCCTGGGTTCAAGTGATTCTTGTGCCTCAGCCTCCTGAGTAGCTGGGATTACAGACATGCATCACCACGGTGGGCTAATTTTTGTATTTTTAGTAGAGACAGGGTTTCAGCGTGTTGGCCAGGCTAATCTTGAACTCCTGGTCTCATGTGATCTGACCGCTTCAGCCTCCCAACACTCACAGTGGCTTAAGCCACCAAGCCCGGCCATTTCTCTTTCTTATATCATTTCTTGTGAGATCCTTAATCAGTTGGAAAACTGTGGGAGTGTTAAGAACGAACAGGAGACCAGGTGCGGTGGCTCATGACTGTAATCCTAGCACTTTGGGAGGCCGAGGCAGGAAGATCATTTGAGGTTAGGAGTTCAAGACAAGCCTGACCAACATGGTGAAACCCCCATCTCTACTAAAAAATACAAAAAAATGGCCAGGCGTGGTGGCTGATGCCCATAATCCCAGCACGTTGGGAGGCCGAGGTGGGCAGATCACGAAGTCAGGAGATCAAGACCATCCTGGCCAACATCGTGAAACCCTGTCTCTACTAAAAACACAAAAATTAGCTGGGCGTGGTGGTGTGTGCCTGTAGTCCCAGCTACTCAGGAGGCTGAGGCAGGAGAATTGCTTGAACCTGGGAGGTGGAGGTTGCAGTGAGCCGAGATCGTGCCACTGCACTCCAGCCTGGGTGATATAGTGAGACTCCATCTCAAAAACAAAAAACAAACAAAAACAAAAAAGTTAGCCAGGTGTGGTAGTGCAGGTCTGTAGTCCCAGCTACTCAGGAGGCTGGGGCAGGAGAATCACTTAAACTTGGGAGGCAGAGGTTGCAGTGAGCCAAGACTGTACTCCAGCCTGGGTGACAGAGCGAGACTCCATCTCAAAAAAAAAAAGAATGAACAGGAATGGTGAAAGGGATGGATGTAAGTCTTCCATAGTATCTAGACTTAATAATGACTGGATCATGAGCCAGAAGAGGAAGTTATAGAGGCTTTGTAGAATCAATTGGGTGCTTGCTCTGAGATTCACATGGGGAATTGGAGTCTGCTGGCCTCCAAGAAGAGTTAAGCTGGTACTCAGATGAGGGGAGAGGGAATAGCACAAGTAAGCATTAAAAAAAGAGGAGGGCTTGGAACATCTATGAAGAGAGGCTCAAATTTCTATCTATGCATGGAAGACCTGATTTCTCTGCCCCATTTCACTGAGCATTTCCCTCTTCTACCATTCCCAAACCTATTTTTCTAGCCCATCATTTTCTCTAGAGCTCCGGCCCTGGATATCAACCGCTACTGGGTTGTACCACTGGTACCTCAAATTCAACATATCCAGCTGGGCGTGATGGCTCACACCTGTAATCCCAGCACTTTGGGAGGCTGAGGCAGGCAGATCATTTGAGGTTAAGAGTTCGAGACCAGCCTAGCCAACATGGTGAAACCCCATCTCTATTAAAAATAAAAAATGCAGGTGGCGGGCACCTGTAATCCTAGCTAGTTGGGAGGCCGAGGCATGAGAATCGCTTGAACCTAGGAGGTGGAGGTTGCAGTGAGCCAAGATCACGCCATTGCACTCCAGCCTGGGTGATACAGCAAGACTCAGTCTCAAAAAAAAAAAGTCAACATGTCCCAACCCATATGCAAGTCCTTTCCCTCCACCCCAAAGTTATCGTCCTTACATGTTTCACTCTCAGTCCAATCAATCATCCAAGTATCCAAGCTAAAAAAGTCTACTGCCATCCTCAACAATTCCCACCCTTCATTCTGCACCATTCATTCAGTAAACATTTACTTAGCATTACTATGTATTAATATCACTGCTAGAAAATGTGCCGTAACAGGAGAGACAAGGATGATTAAGACATGGCTCTAAATATTAGCAGCTCAGTTTAGCAAAAGCAGCAAACAGGCAACGGTGATGCACTCACATACAAATCTTTTATGTTCTCATTTTGTGTGTCTCTTAAATGATTCTCAAACAAAATTTTCCCTCTCCATTCCTACTGCCAATGCCTCAGTTCAGACTTTTTTTTTTGGCTTGGATTACTGCAATTTTCTGGTGTAGTTCCTTTCTGCTCCTATTCTGGAAACACCCAGCTTCCAGAGTAATTATTTAGCCAGGTGCGGTGGCTCACGCCTGTAATCCTATCACTTTGAAAGGCTGAGGCAGGTGGATCACTTGATGTCAGGAGTTCAAGACCAGACTGGACACATTGTGAAACCCTGTCACTACTAAAAATACTAAAATTAGTCAGGTGTGGCAGCGGGTGCCTGTAATTCCAGCTACTCGGGAGGCTGAGGCAGAAGAATCCCTTGAACCCAGGAGGTAGAGATTGCAGGGAGCTCACATCACATCCAGCCTGGGCAACAGAGTGAGACTCTGTCTCAAAATAAATAAATAAATATGTAAATAAATAAATAAAATCCAGAGTAATTATTTTAAAGACATAATCTGGGCCAGGCATGGTGGCTCACACCTGTAATCCCAGCACTTTGGGAGGGAGAGGCAGATGGATTGCCTGAGGTCAAGAGTTTGAGACCAGCCTGGCCAACATGGTGAAGCCCCATCTCTATTGAAAATACAAAAATTAGCCAGGCATGGTGGTGCATGCCTGTAGTCCCAGCTACTCAAGAGGCTGAGGCAGGAGAATCGCTTGAACCTGGGAGGCAGAGGTTGCAGTGAGCCAAGATCACTCCACTGCACCACTCCAGCCTGGGTGAGAGAGAGAGACTCCATCTCCAACAAAAAAAAAAAATAATAAAAAATAAAAAAAAAATAAAAAAAACCCCACATAATCTGGGTGATAAGACTGTCATATAAAGTCCTTGGTAAGAATTGACAATTATTTAGTGAATTACTACTCTGCAGAACAGCAACCTAGAAAATTTAGGATTTTTAAATTTGGAGGTCTAATATGCAGTTATTTGAGGTCATGCTCTAGATTGCAAACATGAATTTTGGGTTATAAAGAATCAGGATGGGCTGGGAGCAGTGGCTCACTCCTGTAATCCCGGCACTTTGGGAGGCCAAGGTGGGTGGATCACTTGAGGTCAGGAGTTCGAGACCAGCCTGTCCAACATGGTGAAACCTTGTCTCTACTAAAAATACAAAAATTAGTCGGGCATGGTGGCGCATGCCTGTAGTTCCAGCTACTCAGGAGGCTGAGGCAGGAGAATCACTTGAACCTGGGAGGTGGAGGTTGCAGTAAGCCGAGATTGTGCCACTGCACTCCAGCCTGGGTGACAGAGTGAGACTCTGTCTCATAAAAAAAAAAAAAAAAAGAATCAGAATGTTATAGTAATACTTTATTTGCAGCATGTATAGACCCCAGTTGAGTTCTTCCACCACCAAATAGAGTATTGCTAATTATTTCATGAGACTAAGCAATGTAGATAAACCACCACCATTGTTAATGAGGAAATGATGGTTAATTAACAATGAGGGCTGTGAATCGTGGATGAAGTGATAAACTCTAAGAAAATGGCAGAACTTTAACAATCATCTAGTCCAAGCCTTTCATTTTAGAAGATGAGGCCCCAGAGAGAGACAGAGACCTACCCAAGATCTAGTAGTTACTTGATGCCACAGTCAAGATGAGAAAAGCCAGATCTTGACTCTTAAAATAATGCTAATTTTATCCCAAGCTCCCTTTGTGAATTTAAAGGTAGTTCACAGCCAATCTGGACACACTGGATTGTATTTTTTTTTTAATAAATTCACCTGTTTATTGCTAAGGTTTCTCTTTTCCTTATGCTTTGGTCATTTCATCTTTATATGTCACAAACTAATAATATTTTTTTTTTTTTGAGACGGAGTTTTTCTCTCATTGCCTAGTTTGGAGTGCAATGGCACTATCTCGGCTCACTGCAACCTCCGCCTCCCAGGTTCAAGCTATTCTCCTGCCTTAGCCACCCGAGTAGCTGGGGTTACAGGCATGTGCTACCATGCCCAGCTAATGTTGTATTTTAGTAGAGATGGAGTTTCTCCATGTTGGTCAGGCTGGTCTCGAACTCCTGACCTCAGGTGATCTGCCCGCCACTGCCTCCCAAAGTGCTGGGATTACAGGCGTGAGCCACCACACCCAGCTGTAAACTAATAATTTTTATAGCCCAATCTACGTTGAGACATAATTCTATTGTATGTATATACCAGACTTATTTCCCTGTTCTCCTATTGATGGACATTTAAATTGTATTCAATTTTAAAAGTTATAAACAGTGCATGTGGTAAACTTTTTATAGGTTAGAATTTTAAAGTTTTTAGTTGGTAATTGATTCATCGATCAGACATTTGTCAAGGACCCATTATGTGCTTTTTACAACACCAGTAGCTCATATATCAGTTCACAAGATAAAAATGGGATTTCTCTATTACCTGTCCGGCCCATAGTAGCCTTCATAACAAAAGCTAGTTTCAGGAGAGCTTTCTCTGTACCTGCTACTGTGCTTGACCTTTTATAAACATTTATCTATAGATGGGGAATTAGTATTCTCATTGCACAGATGAAGTAACGGAATCCTAGAGAGGACAAGAAACCTATGCAAGGACACATTATAAATAAGCAGTTGAATTAATTAATTCATTCAACATTTTTTTAAACAGCTATTAAGTGCCAGGCATTATTCTGGAGTCACACTGAAAGTAATACAGTGGTGAATAAACCAGATATGAATCTTACACTCTGGATAGCAGACAATAAGCAAGTAAACAAAGGTAGAAATGCACGATTTTAAGTTGTGACAAGTGCTGTATAGGAAATGATTGGGTGCAATGGTAGAGAATATTGGGGGCAGGGTTGGGAGGAGGAGAACTACTTAGATTGGGTGGTCAGACAGGCCTTTCAAGGGAGCTGAAATTTAGCTGAAACCATAAAAGGAGAAGGCAGAGTTCTTCCAAGTAGAGCACACAGCTGGTTTAAAGGCTCAGAAGTGGGAAGAAGCTCAATGTACCCAAGGAACCGAAAATACTCCAATATAGCTGCAGGAACGCTGGTGAGGTCACAGAGGCCCAGGATGACAGTGGAGAGAAGGCAGCTCTAGTCCTATCAGATTTCTTAACTATGAAGAGGAATATACATTTTATTTGTGATGGAATGGGTCAGTCTTCAAGGGTTTCAAACAGGAGGCAAAATGCTCTAATTTATTTTTTTAAATAATCACTTTGGCTTTTCTGTAAAGAAAAAGGTTAGAAAGATGAAAGAGTGGAAGTGCTGAGAAAAGCAAGGTGGACATGTCAACAATCCAAGTGAGAGATGACGGGGTCTTGGGCTAAGATTCTACTGAGGAAGGATGGAAGTCGAAGATCTACCTGTTTCTTGGTGGGATAAATGACAGGACTGTGACTCCAGAATCTGCTCTCTTTCCTCTGCCACAGAAACTGCACCTCACTGGCTGGGAATGAGGATATCTTATGGAAGATTCTTATTTTTGGAACTTTTTGAACTCTCTCTGTTGGCTTCTGAAAGCTGAATGCTCTTTCAAAGGACCTGAAGATTTCTTTTGTCCTCAGTTACATTGAGCCCACATTTATGAGGCACTGGTAAAACATTTCTGCAGGAGGGAGTTATGTGCATTGTTCCTCTTAGAGAAACATTGCTCATACTAACTCCTGACTGCATGCATTTTGCAAATGCACAGCTCAGTGAGTGTGTCTTCCCGTTGTTTGTGGTTTACAATCCTGCAAGAAATGGCTTTCTATGAGGCAAAATGGATAATGGCCTTTTATTTTAAGTTACAAAGAGTTGGGTGGCAAGGGGGTAGGGAAGGCAACCCTAAATGCTTTGAATGAATTATTGAATTGACATGGTCCAAAGTGACATTTCTTTTTAAAATGTTTCTTTTATTAGTTTTTTCCTTTTTCTCAAAAATAATGAATATTTATCACTGGAAAACATGAAACTACAAAGAACAACAGACTCCACAATTCCACTTACCCAGGGATATTCACTATAATGTCTTAATGTATATGAAGGTAACTCTTAAACAATTTGTTTTATTTTTACTAAAATTAAAAATCAGTCATTCTTAATATAGACAGTTTACAGAATATAGAAAAGCAGAAAGAAGAAAGTAACTCACCATCCAAGGATAGCTGTTGATAACATTTTAATATGTTTTAAAGTCCTTTTTAATGCATATTTTATATAACTGATATTATATCATCCATTTGTTTTTCCACTTAATATTGCCACCTAATAATTTTTCTGTTACACAAGTTATTAATAATTATATTTATAAATTTGCATAAATTTGTATTATAGCAAACACTGATTATAGTTTTATGTATATATAATTTATGCAAAATTTATATGCATAAAACTATAATCAGTATTTGCTACACAGTGCCTTGAATCCCTAACTGTAAAACAATAAATACATAAAATAAAAATAATACCAACCTCACTGGGTTGTTGTGAGAATTAAATAGGTTAGATGAGTTGATGTACACAGAGCAGCTCGTATCACTTTCTTCCTATGAATTTAGTCTACTTCATTTTTTTATTATATGTAAATTAATGAAAATTCTTATATGTAATTTCATTATTATATGTAATTCCTTATAGAGCTTTGTCAATAAAGCTCTTTCTGTATGGATTATTTCCATTTCTTTTAGATTTAATGCCCAGAAGTAGACTTACTGGGTCAGAGGGTAGGCACAACATTAAGAAATTTAACATTATGTTTGCAAATGCCCTCATGGGATATGGATTTGGGACTTGTAAAGTCTCAAGATTTATTTATCTATTTTTTGAGATGGAGTTTTGCTCTTATCGCCCAGGCTGGAATTCAGTGATGCGATCTCGGCTCACTGCAACCTCCACCTCCCGGGTTCAAGTGATTCTCCTGCCTCAGCCTCCCAAGTAGCTGGGATTACAGGCACCTGTCAGCACACCCAGCTAATTTTTGTATTTTTAGTAGAGACGGGGTTTCACCATGTTGGCCAGGCTGATCTCGAACTCCTGACCTTAGGTGATCTGCCTGCCCCGGCCTCCCGAAGTGCTGGGATTACAGACGTGAGCCACCGCACCTGGCCAATCCCAAGATTTAGATTGTGTTACAAGTGGCTGCCTTGTTAGCGATTACCATGAGTAGGTGGCTAGTGTCACACTGGATGACCTATAGGGTTAAAATTTTGTATGTGGAACAATATTGATTCTCCCCTGTAGCATGGGACAGAGGGAGGAATGCCTTTCTACCTAGGTATAGCAGAATCACCCAGGCGACTTTTTAAAAATGTTAATCCTCCCTTCTTTCTCCACAGCATCCTAACATTCTTTGCCAGGGAATGCCTTTTCCCTCTGAAAATCCCAGCATCCTCTGCCTCCCCAATCACTGATATAATAAGGGCCACTTTACATACAGAGGTGTATTATTTCCTTCAGATGTGTTAAACAGGGAAAAATTTTGAGAAACTACCAACGGTTTAGGTGATGACAAATAGTGGTTAGGACTCAATGTCTGAAGCAAAAGAGGAGATTGCATTAGTCAATTTTGACAAAGACTGCTTGGTGCATCCCTGTGGCTGCCCATTGTAGCTCACAGCGTTGCACTGGGCCCCGCTGTAGATGCCCAGGAAGGCTGTCTCCTAAATTGAAAGAGTGTGGCGTTAAAAGTCTCCACGGAACCACAGAGATCTTTTCATTCAGCTCTGAGACCCGTTTTTAAACCCTGGATGGCTCCGTTTTAATTCCTAGCCCCTATAACTCAGCCTGGATGGTTTCTCCTTATCAAAGCTACTATCTCTCCTCTTCCTTGCCCAGGCTGAATTTTTTTTTTTTTTTTTTTTTTAGATGGAGTTTCGCTCTTGTTGCCCAGGCTGGAGTGCAATGGCATGATCTCGGCTCACTGCAACCTCTGCCTCACAGGTTCAAGCGATTCTCCTGCCTCAGCCTCACAAGTATCTGGGATTATAGGTTTCCACCACCATGCCCGGCTAGTTTTTTTATTTTTATTTTTTTTTTTGTATTTTTAGTAGAGACGGGGTTTCACCGTGTTGGCCAGGCTGGTCTTGAACTCCTGGCCTCAAATGATCCACCCACCTCAGCCTCCCAAAGTGCTGGGATTACAAGCGTAAGCCACTGCACCCAACCCCAGGCTGAATATTAATGGCACATAACTTTCTGGTTCCCCCATTCTATGCTATTTGGGTGGGGCTTAGCTCACCTCAGCCTCAAGACTGGCCAGTCAGACTATTCCATCTCCTTGGCCACAGTGATTGGTTCAGGGGCAGGCACATTACCCAAACTGGACCTTTCTGCAGGAGCTATCAGGAAAGATAGCTTTCTCTGAGGTGCAAGCTGTGTGGATGATGCAAGTGCTAGCAGCTTGAAGCCATTGTGGAGAAACTGTCTGCAGAAGAGGCCAACTGCAGAAAGAAGCAGAGCTGAGAGATGTCACTTCGGACCATGTCAATTCAAGAACATTGAGCTCCTGGTTTGAGTTGTAGAAGCTGTAGGCTTCTCTTTAATACTCCCTCCCTCCGCAGTATGTTTTTTGTTTTGTTTTGTTTTGTTTTTGTTTTGAGACGGAGTTCTGGTCGTGTCACCCAGGCTGGAGTGCAGTGGCGTAATCTTGCGCAGCCTCCACCTTCTGGGTTCAAGCGATTCTCCTGCCTCAGCCTCCGAAGTAGCTGGGATTACAGGCGCACGACACCACGCCTGACTAATTTTTGTAATTTTAGTAGAGATGGGTTTTCACCATTTTGGACAAGCTAGTCTCAAACTCCTGACCTCAGGTGATCCGCCCGCCTCTGACTACCAAAGTGCTGGGACTACAGGCATGAGCCACCATGCCTGGCCTGCAGTATGGTTTTGTTTTTCGTTTTGTGTTTTTTTTTTTTTTTTTTTTTGAGACAGAGTTCCGCTCTGTTGTCAGGCTGGAGTGCAGTGGCATGATCTCGGCTCACTGCAACCTCTGCTTCTCGGGTTCAAGTAGTTATCCTGCCTCAGCCTCCCGAGTACCTGGGATTACAGGCATGTGCCACCACATCCAGCTAATTTTTGTATTTTTTAATAGAGACAAGGTTTCACCATGTTAGCCGGACTGGTCTTGAACTCCTGACCTCAGGTAATCCACCTGCCTCAGCCTCCCAAAGTGCTAGGATTACAGGTGTGAGCCACTGCACCTGGCCCAGAGCTGTTTTATTTTTATTAAATGCTGCATAGAATCAATTGTCGAAATATGTTTGGGGCCAAGTGCGGTGGCTCATATTTGTAATCCCAGCACTTTGGGAGGCCAAGGTGGGCAGATCACTTGAGTGTCAGGAGTTTGAGACCAGCCTGGCCAACGTGCAAAACCCCATGTCTACTAAAAATACAAAAATTAGCTGGGCGTGGTGGCACTCGCCTGTAGTCCCAGCTACTCAGGAGGCTGAGGCACCAGAATCACTTGGACCCGAGAGGCAGAGGTTGCAGTTAGCAGAGACCGAGCCACTGCACTCCAGCCTGGGCAGCAGAGTGAGACTGTGCCTCAAAAAATAAAATAAAATAAAATAAAATAAAATAAAATAAAATTAAAATAAAATAAAATAAAATAAAATAAAATAAAATAAAAGTCATATATTATTAGACCAGTTTCATTTAGATTGACATATATGTTGTTTGCAAGCTTTTGGTATTACAAACAATGTTGCAAATATTACCATCATACATATATCATTTTGTGGGAGAATATCTGTAAGCTAAATTACTAGAAATAAACTTGCTGTTAAAAGGTACGTTTAAAATTTTGATAGATTTTGTCAAATTACCTTACACAGAGGTTATGTGATTTTGTGCTGTCTTCAGCAATGTGTGAAGGTGCACATTTTTCCACACTCTTGGCTAACACGTGTTATTAGTTTTTCCATCTTTGCCAATCTGATGGGTGAATAAATAGTAACTCATTGGAATTTAAATTTACACAGAGGAACTTTTAAACTTACAAAGCTTTAGGGATGTGTACTGCATGGTGAGATTGCAGAACTTAGAGCATTTGAGCCATCTCTTGCCTCCATTTCTTTGGAAAGCAGTTAATATAGTCCTTTTCCTTAAGTATTAGAATGATCTCTGAAGTTTGAGACCTTGCGACCATAACAGGTTCCCTGGTCTGAGTCATTCTGAAAGCAATCACAGTTATGGTACAGCTACTATTTGTCACATTCTCTATAGGTGCCATCATTTATGTAATCTCATTCATATTGAATACTCCAAACAGACTTACGCAGTAGGTATTATGACCTCCATGTCAGCGGAAGAAACTTGCCCAACATCATAGAGCTAGTAAGAGGCAGAGGCTATTCAACTTGACTTGGAGCCTGCACTTTCCCCAAGACTTTATCATTCTAATTGTAGACAGGACATAATATATGCAACCGTAACAAATTCCTGATGCTCATGCAGTTCATTCTATCCACAGTCACATTTAAAGAAGAAATAAGAATTCCCTCCAAAGTTATTAAAAATTGATTCTATTTTTTATTCATGTCTCTTATAAATTATTGAAGGGGATCCAGTTCCCAGCGCAGAACCGCACATCTCAAAAACTCCTTCCTCCACTCTCCAATTCTGTTATATCTTGAATCTGCTCTGGAATCTCTCATGTGCCAAACTCCCATCCTCCGCCTTCAGCCCTGGCCCCATTTTCTTCTACTAATTCCTTTTTAAAATAAGAATAAAACAAAAAACAAACAAGAAAACCCCTCATAATATGAGATCTACCCTCTTCAGTTTTTAAGTGTATAGCACGTTATCGTTAACCATAGGTGCAGTGTTGTACAGCCGCTCTCTAGAACCTTTTCATCTTGCGTTATTGAAACCCACTGAACAGCAACTCCCCACTTTCCCTCTCCCCCACCATTTTACTGTCTGTTTTTGCTTCTATGAGTTTGGCTACTTTAGATGCCTCATGTAAGTGGAACCATGCAGTATTTGTCCTTCTGCGACTGACTGATTACTCTTAGCATAATGTCCTCACCGTCCATTTTCTTCTGTCTCCTTTTCTACTATAGCCCAGCTCTTATGAAAAACTTGATCTCTTATAAAACTGGGTATCTCGTTAAATTCTTCCCCTGCTTCTTATGTCTCTACTCATTCTATAGATTCTGCATCTCAAAATTCAGGGAACTACCCCAGCCAAGAGAGAGAGAGACTAAATGGACAAGAACACACATTTTTTTTTTCAACTTTTATTTTAGATTCAGGGGGCACATACGCAGGTTTGTTACAAAGGTATACTGCATGATGCTGAGGTTTGGAGTATGATTGAACCCGTCATCCAAGTAGTGAGCATGGTATCCAATAGGTAGTTTTTCAACTCTTGCTCTCTTCACTACCTCCTCCCTCTGGTATTCTCCAGTGTGTTGTTTCCATCATCATGTCCACGAGTACCCAACGTTTAGCTCCCACTTAGAGAATATGTGGTATTTGGTTTTATATTTCTATGTTAGTTTGCTTAGGATAATGGCCTCCAGTTGCATCCATATTGCTGCAAAGGACATGATTTTGTTCTTTTTTATGTCTGTGTAGTATTCCATGATGTATATGTACCACATTTCCTTTATCCAGGTCACTATTGATGAGCACCTAGGTTGATTCCATGTCTTTGCTATTGTAAATAGTGCTGCGATGAACATACGGGTGCATGTGTCTTTTTGGTGGAATGATTTGTTTTCCTTTGGGGTATCTACCCAGTAATGGGATTGCTGGGTTGAATGGTAGTTCTATTTTTTTTTTTCTTTTGAGAAGGAGTCTAGCTCTGTCGCCCAGGCTGGTGTGCAGTGGCATGATCTCGGCTCACTGCAACCTCTGCCTCCTGGGGTCAAGTGATTCTCCTGCCTCAGCCTCCAAGTAGCTGGGATTACAGGCACCCACCACCACGCCCAGCTAATTTTTGTATTTTTAGTAGAAACGGGGTTTCACCATGTTGGCCAGGCTGGTCTCGAACTCCTGACCTCGTGATTCACCCACCCTGGCCTCCCAAAGTGCTGGGATTACAAGTGTGAGCCGCTGTGCCTGGCCTTTTTTTTTTTGAGACAGAGTCTTGCTCTTGTTGCCCAGGCTGCAGTGCAATGGCGCAATCTTGGTTCACTACAACCTCCGCCTCCCAGGTTCAAGTGATTCTCTTGCCTCAGCTTCCCAAGTAGCTAGGATTACAGGCATGGTCCACCATGCCAGGCTAATTTTTTGTATTTAATAGAGAGGTTGTTTCACCATGTTGGCCAGGCTGGTCTCAAACTCCTGACCTCACGTGATTCACCCGCCTCGGCCTCCCAAAGTGCTGGGATTACAGGCATGAGCCACCACGCCTGGCCTGGTAGTTCTATTTTTAGAAGACTACACTTTTTTTTGATCCAAAGAGAAGATTATTAACACTCATATATTCATTGAATAACTAAACACTTTTGTTAGAGCCACTAATAGACATCTTAGGACAAAAGAGAACCAGAGTTTTACTGGGAGATAACGGTAGAAGTCAGATTAAAACAGAGAAAAGGGACAGTTGGAATATTTTGGGTCCTTGAATTGCAATCACAAATATGGTTAGCTGTCGGTCACATGTGGCTACTGAGTATTTGAAATGCATGTGCCTGTAGTCCCAGCTACTCAGGAGGCTGAGGCAGGAGAATCACTTGAACCTGGGAGGCGGAGGTTGCAGTGAGCGGAGATCGTGCCATTGCACTCCAGCCTAGGACGAGACTCTGTCTCAAAAAAAAAAAAAAAGGAAAAAAAGAAATGCAGCTAGTTCAAACTGACGTGCTATAAATATAAAGTACACACTGGGTTTTGAATAAAGACTTAGAATGAGAAGAGAATGGAAATATTTCCTTAACAATTTTTAATACTGACTACAGGTCAAATTGGTAATATTTTGGATACGTTGGGTTAAATAAAATATATTATTAAAATAAACTGTATCTGTCTCTTTTCACTCTTTAAAAAGTAAAACTGAAAAAATTAAAGTTAGATATGTGACTCAGATAACATTATTATTTCACAGAGTTCTTCTAGAAGGATTCACAGTAGCCAGAGGGCAAGATAAGGGCAGGGTGCTAGGGCTAGAAAGGGTTGGGGAAGTGGGTGGAGGAAGGACAAATTGGGGGCAGCAAGAGGGCCCTGAGATCATGTTTCTCTAGATTCTCAATTGTCTTAAGGTTGTCTTGTGTGACGTGTACAATACAAATATAAGCACATCCATATGCATATTTTATTATAATTTATAATTAATATACATAGTATATAATTTATATATTTTATCCTAATTTCATAATTTGACACTTTTTTGGGTGAGTTCTGTCTTTTTTCCTTTGGCTTTTTTTTTTTTTTTTTGACAGAGAATCTTGCTCTGTTGCCCAGGCTGGAGTGCAGTGGCATAATCTTGGCTCACTGCAACCTCTGCCTCCTGGGTCCAGGTGGTTCTCCTGCCTCAGCCTCCCTAGTAGCTGAGATTATAGGCACGTGCCACCACACTTGGCTAATTTTTGTATTTTTAGTAGAGACAGGGTTTCACTATGTTGGCCAAGCTGGTCTCGAACTCCTGACCTCAAGTGATCCGCCCGCCTTGGCCTCCCAAAGTGCTGGCATTACAGATGTGAGCCACCATGGCTGGCCCTTCCTTTGGCTTTTTTATCATCGGATAAAATGGATTGCTAGCAATATAACCTTGATGAAGGGATTTAATGTTTCAGAGCCTCAGTTTCCTTAACTTCAATGGGAATAAAACATCCATTGAACAGCAACTTCTCATTTCCCCCTCTTCATATTGATTAGGTTTTTGTGAGGGTCAATTGTAAATTTAAAATTGTTTGACAAATAAAATTGTTAATCTGCATTGTTTGAGAGAGTCAAGGATTCTCATCCATTCCATCTGAGAACATTATCTGAATCAAGGGCAACTTGAAGAGGATCTTAATAAAATTTGGAAAGATTTGACTAGGAAATCATGTTGTTTTCCTTTCTATGTTCAACAAAATATTTCTGATAAATTGGGGATGATGAGGAGTAGAGAGGTGGACTGGCTAAAGGTGAGATTGCAGGGTGCATGATGGACCACAGAGGGAGAGTTTATTTTATGGGTGGCAAAGTGAGCTGGCATGGAGCATGAGGGCTGGTTTTAAGTTAAACATGTGGTAGGCAGAATAATGACCCTCCAAGAATGTCCACATGTCAATCCCCAGCACCTGCAAATATGTTACCTTACATGGAAAAAGGGACTTTGCAGATGTAACTAAATTAAGAACATTGACATGGGAAGATTATCCTGAATTCTCCAAGGGGAGTCTAAAGAAATCACAAGGGTCCTTAGAGAGTAGAGACATGATAATAGAAGCAGAAGTTGGAGTGATGTGCTTTGAAGATGGAGGAAGGAGCCATGAGCCAAGGAATGAGGGCAGCTTCCAGAAGGTAGAAAAGGTAAAGAAACAGTCCCTCAGGGCCTCTAGAAAGGAAAACCCTATTGACTCCTTGATTTTAGCTCTAAAATCCATTTCAAACTTCTGACCTCCAAAACTGTAAGATAATGTTTGTGGTTTATTTTGTTTGATTGTTTTTTGAGACGGAGTTTTGCTCTTGCCCAGGCTGGAGTGCGGTGGCGCAATCTCGGCTCATCGCAACCTCTGCCTCCCAGGTTCAAGCGATTCTCCTGCCTCAGCATCCTGAATAGCTGGAATTATAGGCATGCACTACCATGCCCGGCTAGTTTTGTATTTTTAGTAGAGATGGGGTTTCTCCATTTTGGTCAGGCAGGTCTGGAACTCCTGACCTCAGGTGATCTGCCCACCTCAGCCTCCCAAAGTGCTAGGATTACAGGTGTGAGCCACCGTGCCCGGCCTAGTGTTTTTTAAGCCACTAAATTTGTGGTTATTTGTTAGAGCAACAATAGGAAACTAACACAGTAAACAATCTACCCTGAACCATGAGTATAAACCATGGAGAAAAAGGGTTATATGAGCAAACTGGAAGAATTCTTTCAGTAAACTCTCTAACAGTTTGGTAGCCATAGGTAGGACAACCTCTAACTAAGCTTATCACAGGAAGGGGCCACATTTTCCTTCTCATTGGGGTACTTCAGGGTATATTCCAGGGACTGGCACTGAGGAATCAGGGGAGACAACAGTGATGGGAATGGCCTCTGATTCCAGGGACATAGAACAGCCTCAGTTCAGGAGAGCAGACGATCATCTCAGAGGAAGGCCTCTGCATGCTGATTCTCAGCTGAGATGCCTGGCTCAGTAGCTATACTAGCAAGTGTCGAGGATGGCTCTGTGGATATATATAGGACCCTGCACATTTCCAAAAGTATCTGAGGAATAGAGAGCTTTGCAATGTATTGCAAAACTTACATGAGTAGAAATAACTTTGGAGCTGGTGGATATCAGATATGAATAATATTGTGACCACTTTTGTACTTGTAAGTTGATGTACCTGGACTATTTGCCTTAGACTACCGCAGTAAGTGGACTGTTGACTTGGGCTTAAAATTGGGGCCTGAAAATGAGCTCAAATTCAGGACCACAGAATCTGCAATTCTGAAATCCCCAAACCTCTGAAAATTGAAAACTTTTTATTTTTATTTGTCTAAACTTGCTGCCAAATTTTAAAAAACTGGAAATAATATGAAATTATGTATTGTCTTTATTCATCTTACTTGGTATGAATGTGCACACTCTTGACTGCAGAAATAGTAATGTGCTTGATTGTGGGGTGTTGTTCCAGATTTTAATGGGGTATTATGTAATATATGGTATATACCTGATATTTTCTTTCTAAAATCTAAATCTAAATCTTAAATAATTTGGTCGCAAGAATCCAGATAAGGGATTATCAAGTTGCAAAGGGAGCCAGATATTTAATAATATTTAATAAGAGTGTATATTAATCTATACATGAAGAACCCCAGCAAGCTACATCTTCACAGATGTAATTAGTTAAGATGAGGTCATATGGGATTAGGGTGAGACTTGAACCCAACGACTTGGTGTCCTTATAAGTGAAGACACACAGAGAAGAAAGCCATGTGATGATGGAGTAAGAGATTAGAGTGATGCTAAAAGAGAGACAAGGAACAGTTCTTCCCTGAGTTTCCATAAGGAATCAACCTTGTGAACACTTTGGTTCTGGACTTCTGAGCTCTCGAACTGTGAGAGTAAATTTCTAGTGTTTTAAGCCACCCAGTTTGTGATCATACATTATAGTGGTCCTAGGAAATTAATATACTGGGCCAGAACCAATTTAGTTGTGGGAATAACATTGGGACTATCTTAAAATCTTTGAAGTTTTATTAATTCATTCAACATAATATCTCTTTTAGTAAAGGAACAGTGGCAGGACTATAGCTTACATAGTTATACTATATTCTTTTTAAAGCAGTGTTATTAAGATATTCATTACAGGACTACTTTCAATAGAAAAAATGAAAAGCATCATTTAATTATAAGAAATGACAAAATCAATTAAGATACATCCATACTATGGAATAATAACAAGCTAAAAAATTTATATTTTTATGACATGAGAAATTGCTCATATTGGGTCAAAAATAGGATATAGGAGCTGTCAGACTCATCACATTGTATATGTAAGATTTATGCATTTTACTGTCTATATGCCACACACTAAATATATATACAAATGAACTACAAACAAATATTGAGCTTTAGTCAAGATATTTGCTTTTTGTAGAGGTGAGTTAGCAATTCTGAAACTACTGTGTATACTAGGCTTAAACAATGAGTAGGTGAACTGAGGATAATGGGAACCAGTTTTTTCACTGTTAAAGAAGAGAGTTACATGTGTGAATAGTGGAAGTCTAGAGTGTACTCCAAAGTGTTGGATTGCAACTGGAGGTATCATTTGAATTCATGGCTTTTATATATATATAACATATTATATGATGTGTAGAGAAATGAATATAGAAATAGCATAAATATATAGACAAAGAGAGAGAGAGAGATTTCCTAGCTCTGTCAGCTAGGAGAGCCTAAAAGAAATAACTAAGTAGTAACAATGAGCACACCTGCCACCCAGAACTTGGTTTCTAAATACCATTCTCCAATTAAAAAAACCAAGGCTTGTTAGAGAAATAGCTGATTCCAGGGCTAGGTCAGGGAAGCACAAGATGAACATAGATCATCTTACACCAGAAAGTAAGGCATTTCTTAAAGAAAAAAGGGAACATATCAAAAAGACATAGGAGATAACTCAAAGACCACTGGCCAAATATGAGATAATTTGTGTGACAAAATAAATGATGATAGTAATGGATGATAACACATTAGATAAAACCTATGAGACCATACTGATATCAATAAATGAATTCATGAGTAAATAAATAAAAAATGAAAAAGGAGGAGAGCTCTTTCAGTAGGATGCCAACTGACAAATATAGATGGAATGATGGATATAGAAAATAATTAATGGTTGCTAAACTAGCAGATGAAGATTAATGAGGAATAGTTATTTACATAGTCTCAAAGTATCTCCTCATACATCACATATTAATTTTAAAGGGAAAAATAGTAATATTAGAATGGAGAAAAGTGACAGACTACATTTTAACCAAGTGATCAACTTTAAAAAACCAATATCATTTTTCTCCTGATGGGATGTACTGATAAGGATACAGCATTACTTTGGTGAGATTCCTGCCAAAAAGATAAAGTCTAAATCTAATCAGACAAATTCCAATCAAGGGACATTGTACAAAATAACTGGCTTGCACTCTTCAAAAATGTCAAGGCTTCAACAAGAAGAGTAAACCATCCTAAATATATATGCACCCAACATTGGAGCCTCCAGATTCATAAAATAAATATTTCCAGACCTACAAAAAGATTTAGCCACACAATAATAGTGGGGATTTTCAACCTGCCACTGACAGCATTAAACAGATCATCAAGGCAGAAAGCTAACAAAGTTTGCACTTAAACTCAACACTTGATCACTTGGACCTAATAGACACCTATAGAATACTCTACCCATCAACCACAGGATATACATTCTTATCTGCACATGGAACATATTCCAGGATTGACTACATGCTTGGCCATAAAGCAAGTCTCAATAAACTCAAAAGAACTGAAATTATACCAAGCACATTCTCAGACCACAGTGGAACAAAAACAGAAGTCAATACCAAGAAGTTCTCTCAAAACCATATGATTACATGTAAATTAAACAATTTGCTCCAGAATAACTTGAGTAAACAACAAAATCAAGGGAAAAATAAAAAAAAATATTTTGAAAGAAATGAAAATAAGACCGGGCACGGTGGCTCATGCCTGTAATCCCAGCACTCTGGGAGGCCGAGGCAGGTGGATCACGAGGTCAGGAGTTTGAGACCAGCCTGGTCAACATAGTGAAACCCCATCTCTACTAAAAATAGAAAAAATTAGGCAGGCGTGGTGGTGGGCGTCTGTAATCCCAGCTACTCGGGAGGCTGAGGCAGGAGAATTGCTTGAGCCCGGGAGGCGGGGTTGCAGTGAGCCGAGGTTGCACCATTGTACTCCAGCCTGGCCAACAGTGTGAGACTCTGTCTCAAAAAAAATAATAAAAAAAAAAAACAGAGATACTACATACCAACATCTCTAGGATGCAGCAAAAGCAGTGTTAAGAGGAAAGTTTATAGTGCTGAAAGCCTACCCATCTCTAAAAGTTAGAAAGATCTCAAATTAACAGTCTAACATCACACCTAGAGGAACTAGAAAAACAAGAACAAATTAACCCCAAAGCTACAAGAACAAAAGAAATAACTAAAATCAGAGCTGAACTGAAGAAAATTGAGACCGAAAAATCCTGTATGCATTTTGTATAATTCATTGTATAAGAATTAATGAAACCAAAAGTTTGTTTTTTGAAAGGATAAACAAGATCAACAGACTGTTAACTAGTTTAACAAAGAAAAAAGAGAGAGAAGATCCAAATAAGCAAAATTAGAAACGACAAAGATGACATTACAACTGATCCTACAGAAATACAAAAGATCCTCAGAGACTCTTATGAACACCTCTATGTGCACAAACTAGAAAATCCAGAGGAAATAGATAAATTCCTGGAAACATATAACATCCCATGATTGAATCAGGAAGAAATGGAAACACTGAATAGACCAGTATCAAGTTCTGGAATTGAATTAGTAATAAAAAGCCTACCCAACCCAAAAAAGCCTTGGACCAGATGCATTCACAGCCAAATTCTACCAGACATACAAAGAAAAGCTAGTACCAGGCTGGGCACGGTGGCTCACGCCTGTAATCCCAACACTTTGGGAGGCTGAGGCAGGTGGATCATGAGGTCAGGAGATCAAGACCATCCTGGCCAACATGGTGAAACCCCGTTTCTACTAAAAATGCAAAAAAATTAGCTGGGCGTGGCAGCGGGGCACCTGTAGTCCCAGCTACTCGGGAGTCTGAGGCAGAAGAATCACTTGAACCCAGGAGGTGGAGGCTCCAGTGAGCCAAGATCGTGCCACTGCACTCAAGCCTGGCGACAGAGCAAGACTCTGTCTCAAAAAAAAAAAAAAAAGAAAAGCTAGTACCAATTCTACTGAAACTATTCCAAAAAATCAAGGCATAGGGACTCCTCCTTAATTCATTCTACGAGCCAGCATCACCCTGATACCAAAACCTGGCAAAGACACAACAAAAAAAGAAAACTAATGGCCAAAATCCCTGATGAACACAGATGCAAACATCCTTAACAAAATTCTAGCAAACCAAATTCACCAGCACATCAAAAGTTAATTCACCATAATTCATCCCTGAGTTACAAGGCTGGTTCAACATATGCAAATCAATAAATGTGATTCACCACATAAACAGGTTTAAAAACAAAAACTGTATCATTTCTTGGCCTTTTGGCTAAGATCAAGTGTAAAAACAAAACCATATGATCATCTCAATAGATGCAGAAAAGGCTTTCAATAAAATCCTTCATGATAAAAACCCTCAAGAAAATAGGCATCAAAGGAACATACTTCAAAATAATAAGCCATCCATGACAAACCCACAGCCAATATCATATTGAATGGGCAAAAGCTGAAACCATTCCCCTTGAGAACTAGAACAAGACAAGGATACCCACTCTCACCACTCCTATTCAACATAGTACTGGAAGTGCTAGCCAGAGGAATCAGGCAAGAGAAAGAAACAAAAGGCTTTTTTTTTTTTTTTTGAGATGGAGTTTCGCTTTTGTTGCCCGAGCTGGAGTGCAATGGCACCATGTTGCTCACTGCAACCTCCGCCTCCCGGTTCAAGCGATTCTCCTGCCTCAGCCTCCCAAGTAGCTGGGACTACAGACACCTGCCACCATGCCTGGCTAATTTTTTGTATTTTTAGTAGAAACGGGGTTTCACCATGTTTGCCAGGCTGGTCTTGAACTCCTGACCTCAGGTGATCTGCCCGCCTTGGCCTCCCAAAGTGCTGGGATTACAGGCATGAGCCACCGTGCCTGGCCACAAGGCATTTAAATAGGAAAAGAAGAATTAAAATCATCTCTCTTCACTGAAGACATAATTCTATACTTAGAAAACCAAAAGTCTATTAGAATTGACAGAACAATTTTAGCAACCTTTCAGAATACAAAATCAATGTACAAAAATCGGTAGCACTGAAGTTGAGAGCCAAATCAAGAATATGATCCCATTTACAATAGCCACACACAAAAACATGCTTACGAATACATCTAACCAAGGAGAACTACAAAACACTGCTAAAAGAAATCATAGATGACAAAAATGATGGAAAAACAGTCCATGCTCATGGATCAGAAGAATTAGCATCATTAAAATGGCCAAACTGCCCAAAGCAATCTACAGATTCAACACTATTCCTATTAAACAACCAATGCCATTTTTCACAGAATTGAAAAAAACTATCTTAAAATTCATATGGAACCAAAAAAGAGCTCGAATAGCCAAAGCAATCTTAAGCAAAAAGAACAAAGCCAGAGTCATCATGTTACCCGAGTTCAAGCTATACTATAAGGCTACAGTAACCAAAACAGCATGGGGTACTGGTACAAAAACAGACACATAGACCAATGGAACAGAATAGATAACACCAAAATAAAGCCATACACCTACAACCATCTGATCTTTGACAAAATTGACAAAAATATGCAATAAGGAAAGAACTCCCTATTCAATAAATGGTGCTGGGATAGCTGGTGAGCCATATGCAGAAGAATGAAATTGGACCCCTACCTTTCACCATACACAAAAATTAACTCAAGACAGATTGAAGATTTAAATGTAAGACCTCAAACTATAAGAATCCTAGAAGAAAATCTAGGAGGCTGGGCACGGTGGCTCACACCTGTAATCCCAGCACTTTGGAAGGCCAAGGTTGGTGGATCACCTGAGGTCAGAAGTTTAAGACCAGCCTGGTCAACATGGTGAAACCCCGTCTCTACTAAAGATACAAAAAAAATCAGCCACGCCTGGTGGCGGGCGCCTGTAATCCCAACTACTTGGGAGGCTGAGGCAGGAGAATCGCTTGAACCCGGGAGGTGGAGGTTACAGTGAGCCGAGATCGTACCACAGCACTCCAGCCTGGGCAAAAAGAGTGAAACTCTGTCTCAAAAAAAAGCAGATCTAGCAAACACCATTCTGGACACCAGCCTTGGGGAAGAATTTTTGACAATGTCCTCAAATGCAATTGCAACAAACACAAAAATTGACAGGTGGGACCTAATTAAACTAACGAGCTTCTGCACAGCAAAAGAAACTATCAACAGAGTAAACATACAACCTACAGAATGGGAGACAATATTCACAAATTATGCATCCAACAAGTCTAATATCCAGAATCTATTAAGAACTTAACCAATTGAACAAGCAAAAAACAAATAACCCCATTGAAACATGGATAAAAGACATGAAAAGATACTTCTCAAAAGAAGACATACAAGTGGCCAACAAACATATGAGAAAATGCTCAACATCACTAATCATCAGAGAAATGCAAATAAAAACCACAGTAGATACCACCTCACACGAGTCAGAATGGCTATTATTACAAAGTCAAAAAATAACAGATGCTGACGAGATTGGGGAGAAAAAGGAACGCTTTTACACTGCTGGTGGGAATGTAAATTAGTTCAGCCACTGTGGAAAGCAGTTTGGAGTTTTCTCAGCTAACTGAAAACAGAACTACCATTTGACCCAGGAATCCCATTATTGGGTATATATCCAAAAGATAACAAATCATTCTACCAAACAGACACATGCACTCGTATGTTCATTGCAATGCTATTTACAGTAGCAAAGACATGGAATCAACATAGGCGCCCATCAGTGGTGGATTGGATAAAGAAAATGTGCTACATATATACCACGGAAAACTACACAGCCATATAAAAAAGAACAAAATCATGTCCTTTGTAGCATCATGGATGCAACTGGAGGCCATTATCCTAAAGGAATTTATGCAGGAACAGAAAACCAAATACTGCATGTTCTCACTTATAAGTGGGAGCTAAACACTGGGTAATCATGGATATAAAGATGGGAATAATGGACACTGGGGAGTACTAGAGGGGGTGAGAGGGAGCAGGTAAAAGTTGAGAAACTAACTGTTGGGTAATATGCTCAGTACCTGGGTGATGGGATCATTTATATCCCAAACTTCAGCATCACGCACTGTACCCAGGCAACAAACCAGCACATGTATTCCCTGAATTTAAAATAAAAGCCCCAAAAAATGTCAAGGTCAAGAAACACACACACACACACAAAAGGGTGAGCAATTTTTCCAAATTAAAGGAGATTAAAAAGATATAAGAATTAAATGCAATGTGTTATCCTAAGATTTGATCTTAAACCAAGAAAAAACAAGCTATAAAGGACATTGATGCAACTGATTAAATTTGAATATAGATTGTGAACTGTGACTTGCAGCAATGTTAAATTACCTGATTTTGATAGTTGTACTGTGGTTACATAATAGAATGAATGCCCTTATTCTTAGGGAATACACATTGATGTCTTCAATTTACTCTCAAATGATTCATACAAAATAATGTGCATAAATATAAATACACATCTAATGATAAAACAAATGAAATGAAGCACAATGTATAGGGTAAAATGTATATGAGAGTTCTTTGAACTTTTCTTGCAACTTTTCTGGAGGAAACATTTGAAACCATATCAAAATAAGAAGTTATAAAAATAGGATTCAAATTCCTGTACAGTATAATCATTAATTTAAAAGAGTAAAGCATTAAAAAACTCTATTTACCTCTTTATATACATAGGAAAAAATACTAGAGATAAATGCAGTAAAATATAATTAGTGGCTAAGCCTCCATTTAAGTTTTAGGAGTTATGTTAAAACTTCTCATTTATATTTTCAAAATGTTCTGTCTTCCTACCACACTTAGAATAAAACCCGATGACTATAAATGCCCATCTACTTCTTCAATGGGAGGTCTTTATTTATCACTAATCTAAAACAGTCACTCTCCTCTTCCCAATCACTTACTATCTCTTTTTTTCTGTTAGTGGTGTTAGCTGCTTTAAATGGCAAAACTTGGGCCGGGCATGGTGGCTCACGCCTGTAATCCCAGCACTTTGGGAGGCCGAGGCACGCAGATCACTTGAGGTCAGGAGTTTGAGACCAGCCTGGCCAACATGGTGAAACCTCGTCTCTATGAAAAATACAAAAATTGGCGAGGCATGGTGGCAGGCACCTGTAGTCCCAGCTACTCAGGAGGCTGAGGCAGAAGAATCGCTTGAACCCGGGAGATGGAGGTTGCAGTAAGCCAAGATCGTGCCACTGGACTCCAGCCTGGGCCACAGAGTGTGACTCTGTCTCAAATAAATAAATAAATAAAGGCAAAACTTTGGAAATAAACCTCCAGTCTCAAGAAGATTGGTATATAATTGTATCTATACCACATATATAGCATAAAAATAGTGTATACGTGTATGTATATACTAGTATATAATAGTATACATATAGTGGTATATGATATATACACTGGCATATGTATATACAAACATATAGTTATACAGCTATATTCTGAACTACTAGGCAGTTGCACACTAGGAAACCTATACTATATGTTATCCCAAACAGAGCTTTGATGTCCTGTTTCCATGGCCTGTGATCAAGGTCTTAGAACAAATTTCTTTCTTCTTCTAGCCTTCTTCCCTCTTTTTCCGGGCAATTGGAGATAGCCAATAGAACCTAGAGTTCAATCCTATTGCATCTCCACTTACTGGCTATATGACTTTAGGCAACTTGCAAGTTATTGAAACTCTGAGCTGTAGTTTTCCCATTCGTGGATTGGGAAAAATAATAAGTGCCTCACGGGGTTCCTGTAAGAATCAAGGAGATAATGCACCTAAGGCCCCAAGCACAGCACCTGCTGCACTGTGGATGGTCAAATGCCAAATCTCTTACAAATTCTTATTTACACTTTTTTTGGTGAAATCTTCACAGGCTCCCCAGGCAGAACCAGCTGTGCTCCAGTGACTTTTTCTTCTTTTTCCTAAAAGAGTATTTGCCAAGGAGGGTTAAGATTTTTCTTTTTATGAGTTTCTCTTTCCTGGTTAGACTGGGAGCTTTTCGATGAGCACAAATGTGCCACTTTCACCTCTGAATCTGCAGTGCCTGGCACAGAGACTGGAGAGCAGCAGAACTCAGTCAATAAATGCTCATGGAAAGTGGGAATTCCAGTCCTCACGACCCTTCTCTCATGACATTTCTTGATCCTCTAGCTGGAAATAATTTTTCCCTCTGGTGAGAACTAAGAGTGGTCTGACCACATTCTGCCTTGAATCATAGTTACTGGTGAGTGTTTTTTGTTTTTTCTTTTCTTTTTAATTTACCCTCCCCAGCCTCACACAGCCCCCAAGTCATATGATTGCTGGAACTGCCTCTTATTCATCTCAGAAGCCCCGGCAGTGCCTGGCCCAGGCATTCCATCATTTGTTTCTGATATAATTCTTCTTGAGCAAGGAGCAAGGGATATGACTCACATATATAACGCACAATACAGTTATTGCTTTTTCTGTGTAGACCCACTCAGCAAACCACTTCCCCATTGCACAATGAATTGGAGGTTGGGGCTGTTCCCTATGTTAAAATCAGTAGGGTTACCAGAAGTCATTCACCTACCTCTGGATAAAAGAGAGTGAAAAAACATTAATCCATGACATGACTTCAAATCTGGGCCTTTCTATTTCCCTGAGAATGTCAGTATAAGAATCTGAATCATTATATATGTGCAAAATACAATGCAAACTCTGAGCAAGACAAGGATTATTAGAGCTGATGAGAAGAGGAAGTAAAATTGGAATACTATGATAGGATCACAGTTTCTATGAATGCGGAGGTTTAAAAATCTTGTCTCACTTTAGCAGCTATTAAATTGTACTATCATGCATGGCTATTGAAGATGAATTGCATTGGGGGGCATTACATGGTATTAAACTTGCATTATGGATATACGGCAACTGAGTAGAAATTTTGCCAGGGACCAGTAACACCTTGGTGAATTTTTCATCCATTTGACAAATGTTTCCTAAGCTTCTACCACGTGCCAGCACTATGCTAGCTAGAGAGCTAAGACAGACCTTACCTTTGTCTTTATTTTTTTCTTTCCTACTATTAAGTAGTCCACATGGACTATACTTACCCTGGTCACCAAACATGCAGATTGCTATAGGGAACAAAGAGGATGTTTATAAAGTAGTTCTGGTGTGTTCACAGGTATTATGTAAGATTATTCCCCAGCACAATGTTAATATGTTAAAAGTCAACCATGAAAATGCATTTCTAATGCATTTTTTTTTTCTTTTTGGCATGATCTCGGCTCACTGCAACCTCCGCCTCCTGAGTCCAAGTGATTCTCCTGCCTCAGCCTCCCAAGTACGTGGGACTATAGGCACATGCCACCATGCCTGGCTAATTTTTTGTATTTTTAGTAGAGATGAGGTTCCACCATGTTGGCCAGGCTGGTCTCGAACTCCTGACCTCAAGCGATCTGCCCACCTCGGCCTCCCAAAGTACTGGGATTACAGGTGTGAGCCACCGCTCCTGGCCAGGCCCTCTTGCTTTTGACTTAAAAATTTCATAATAGTCAAGTCTACTGAATCTCATTTGATTGAGTTTTTAAGATTAAACTTGTTCGTACCATTTAACAAAGAAATAGTGTTTTCATTATTACTCTTAGAACATAAATGCACCACTCTGGGTAATATTTCATGGAGTTATTTTTCTTTCATACCCATATTTCCTCCTGAATCTTACAGAATATTAGAACTAGGAGAGAACTTGGGTATTATCTAACCCAATGCTAGTCAAACATTTCCATTCTTTTCATAACTTTTGAAAGTGTTTCCTTTCTATGGGCTGAAAGTTCTGGAAGACTTTTGCCTATCAAACAAACTGTATTTAATTATTAATTATTATAATAATATTTTATTTTCTTTTTTTAAAGACATATTACTGCCAATCAGAGCTTCCGATTATCATGAAGTAATTAGAATTAGCAGTAGGTAACGTGGCTATTGATTCTTCAGTCAAATTACCTGAGTTTAAATCTTCCCTCCAACACCAACTAGCTGTACAACCTTGAGCAAATTCCATAACTCTCTGTGCCTCAATTTCCTTATCTGTAGATCAGTGATAACAACAGTATATACCCCATAGAGTTGTGAGGAGTCCTGCATTATCACAGCCCAAACAAAGAAAAGTGCCTCCGTTATTATCCTACCAAACCAATATAGGATAAGTGTACATTTCCATGAGAGTTTCTAAAATATTAGAAATAGTTTAGCTTATGAATACCCATTACTACCCTTAAGACTCCAGTGATATTCTAGGATCCCAGTCTGGGAATCACTATTTGAGAATAAACTTCTCTTTTAAAGATGAGGAACTTGAAACCCATAGGGGTGAGTATCCTGAAGACACCCAGCTAGTCAGGACTGGACCTGGAAGTAGAACCTGAAACTTCCAGACTGTGAGATTGTGCATTTATTAGGCTAATTAGAGATTTGTCCATAAAGGTCACAGATGCCCCTGGATCATGGGGTGTGAAACAGACAGAAAGGGGACATTAGAAGCACTTACTCATTGCCATAGATTCTATGCCCACTGAAAGCAATCAGGTATTGAAATTCCATTTCATTTGGAATAACAGAAGATTTTTGACACCTGTAAGGGATGTCTCCAGAATTTGGAAATTCCAATTGTCAAACATCACTGTAGCATACAACTTTCCCCAGAAAATGCGTTAAGGAATGACTGAGACATTGAAGTAACTTCATTAAACCCTTAATAAACCTATAACTACTAGACTAAACTAACTTAACAAGGCTTTTAAAATAAATTCTGCTACAGAAATAAACTTGACACTATATTATGACATCACTACTGAAATAAAGTGAATCACGAGCTTACCTGAATGTACAAAAATTCAGGGATGATGATGGGTGTCGATGACTGCTGCTGCCCAGTAATGCGCTGATGGATGGAGGCAGTACTGAGATGCAGCCACACCGCAGGGTAAAGTCAGCAAGGCTCTGCTCAGAGCTCCTTCACCAAATGGAGACTCTGAGACTTCAGCTAGACTCATAGAGTGCTAAGTGATCGCCTCACATCAGTCGTGACAGTTTCCCACTCCTGTCTCAACCAGTTACCAGTTACTACATGTTAGGAACCTTCTGGGAAGTTCCAAGAGTCTATTGTACTCAGTGATGGTTTGAGGGCTCACTAATACTCATTTATATTGCTGGTGGGACCATAAACTGTTGCAAATTGTGGAGAGGACAATTATATTATTCTAAGTTTTAAAAATTTGCATTTTCTTTGACCAGTAAATCCATATCTAGAAATCTGTTTAAGGGAACAATTAGAGACACACAGATAAAGAGATATGCACAGTGTTGTACAATATTATACAATAGCAAAAAATAGAAAACAATCTCAATGGCCATCAACAGGAAACTGATTTAAAAATTATTGTATGTTTATACAATGGAAAACTAAACAGTTGTTACAAATGATACGTATTTTTTAAATGTTGGTGGGGCGTAGTGGCTCACGCCTGTAATCCCAACACTTTGGGAAGCCGAGGTAGGAGGACCACTTGAGCCCAGGAGTTTGAAACGAGCCCTGGGCAATATAGTGAGACCTCATCTGTACAAAAGCCTTAAAAAATTAGGCAAGCAGCCGGGCACGGTGGCTCACAACTGTAATTCTAGCACTTTGGGAGGCTGAGGTGGGCGCATCACCTGAGGTCAGGAGTTCGAGACCAGCCTGGGCAACATGGTGAAACCCCATCTCTACTAAAAATACAAAAATTAGCCAGGCATGGTGGCGGGCGCCTGTAATCCCAGGTACTTGGAAGGTTGAGGCAGGAGAATCACTCGAGCCCTGGAGGCTGAGGTTACAGTGAACTGAGATCGCGCCACTGTACTCCAGTCTGGGCAACAGAGCAAGACTCTGCCTCAGAAAAAAACAAAAAAATTAGGCAAGCATGGTGGTGCCTGCCTATAGTCCCACCCCAGGGAGGCTGATGAGAGGATCCCTTGAGCCCAGGAAGTGGACGCTGCACGAGCCACGATTGCATCACTGCACTCCAGCCTGTGTGACAGAGAGAGACAGAGAAAGAAAAGAGAAAGAAAAAGTCTGGGGCGGTGGCTCACGCCTGTAATCCCAGCACTTTGGGAGGCCAAGGCAGGCAGATCACCTGAAGTCAGGAGTTCAAGACCAGCCTGGCCAACCAACATGGTGAAACCCTGTCTCTACTAAACGTACAAAAATTAGCTGGGTGTGGTGGCGTGCACCTATAATCCCAGCTACTCAGGAGGCTGAGGCAGGAGAATTGCTTAAACCCGGGAGGTAGAGGTTGCAGTTAGCCGAGATTGTACCACTGCACTCCAGCCTGGGTGACAGAGAGAGACTCCTTCAAAAAGAAGGAAAGGAGAGAGAAAGAAAGAAAGAGAAAGGAAGGAAGAAGTTCATTAATGTAAGAAAATACTTATTATATGAGTCAACACATCAGAATACAAATCTATACATGCACATTATGAACCTGTTTGTAAGAAAATTTTTTTTTTTGAGACAGAGTCTCGCTCTGTCGCCCAGGTTGGAGTACAGTGGCCTAAAGGCAGCTCACTGCAACCTCCACTTCCCAGGTTCAAGCAATTCTCCCTGCCTCAGCCTCCTGAGTACCTGGGATTACAGGCACCTGCCACCATGCCTGGCTGATTTTTGTATTTTTTAGTAGAGAGGCAGTTTTTTCACCATGTTGACCAGGCTGGTCTTGAACTCCTGACCTCAGGTGATCTGCCCGCCTTGGCCTCCCAAAGTGCTGGGATTACAGGCTTGAGCCACCACGCCTGGCCTGTAAGAAAATGTTATGTCTTCAAAGAGAAGGAAGACAGAAAAGAAATACGCTACAATAATGGTACATTTTAGAGGTGGGATTATGGGATTTATTATTATTATTATTTTTGAGACAGAGTCTTACTCTGTCACCCAGGCTGTAGTGCAGTGGCGCAATCTCAGGTCACTGCAACCTCCACCTCCTGGGTTCAAGTGATTCTCCTGCCTCAGCCTCCAGAGTAGCTGGGATTACAGGCACACACCACCATGTCTGGCTAATTTTTGCATTTCTAGTAGAGATGGGGTTTCACTATGTTGGCCAGGATGGTCTCAATCTCATGACCTTGTGATCCGCCTGCCTCAGCCTCCCAAAGTGCTGGGATTACAGCGTGAGCCACCGCACCCAGCCGGGATTATGGGATTATGAGTGATTTTTATTATACTGTATGTTATATGGTTTCTAAACTAAGTATATAATACCTTTAAAATCAACTAGTTTTATTAAATACTACAGGTGTGTGTTTACAAAATTCAGTATGGGATGAACAGTAATCCAGACATCTCGTACCTCTTTACAGAAACAACACTATTAACAATTTCTTGTGTATCCTTCCAGATATTCTATGATATAGGAGTTATTTGTATGTGTTTGTGTATTCACATTCATTCCATCACAAATGAAGAGTATTACAGACAGTCTTATACTTCACTTTTTTTTTTTCACTTATCAGTATATCTTGGAGATCATTCCACATTAGCAAATATACAGCTACCTCATTATTATTATTACTATTATTATTTATTATTTTGAGAGAGGATATCACTCTGCTGCCGAGGCTGGCACAATCACAGCTTACTGCAGCCTCGATATCCTGGGCTCAAGTGATCCTCCTGCCTCAGTCTCTAAAAGTGCTGGAATTACAGGCATAAGCCACTGTACCCCACCTACCTCATTATTTTTAATGGCTGCATACGATTCCCTAGTATGAATGGAACATAATTTGTTTAATCAGTCCTGTATTGATGGACATTTAAGCTGTTTCCTAACTTTTGCTACAAACAATTCTACAAAAAACAGCGTTGTGCCGGGTGCAGTGGCTCATGCCTATAACCCCAGCAGTTTGGTAGGCCGAGGTGGGTAGATCACCTGAGGTCAGGAGTTCAAGACCAGCCTGGCCAAGATGGTGAAACCCCATCTCTACTAAAAATACAAAAATTAGCCAGACATGGTGGTGAATGCCTGTAATCCCAGCTACTTGGGAGGCTGAGACAGGAGAATCGGTTGAACCCGGAAGGCAGAGGTTGTAGTGAGCCAAGATCGTGCCACTGCACTCCAGCCTGGGTGACAGAACAAGACTCCGTCTCAAAAAACAAACAAACAAACAAAACAAACAAAAAATCCAGCCTTTTAGATATGTCTTTATGCACTGGTATGGGTACATCTATACAGTAAATTCCTTCGTATAGAATCACTGGGCCAAAAGCTTATCTAGAAAAAAAAATACTCAAATTTTAAAAGTTTACTTAATAATCATGGCACATGATCCAGGAACACAGTTTAAAAAAATTAATCCTAGGCCAGGCGTAGTGGCTCACGACTGTAATCCCAGCACTTTGGGAGGCCGAAGCATGTGGATCTCGAGGTCAGGAGTTTGAGACCAGCCTGGCCAACATGGCGAAACCCCCATCTCTACCAAAAATACAAAAATTAGCCAGGCGTGGTGGTGGGTGCCTGTAATCCCAGCTACCCAGGAGGCTGAGGCAGGAGAATTGCTTGAACCCGGGAGGTGGAGGTTGCAGTGAGCCGAGATTGTGCCACTGAACTCCAGCCTGGGCGTCAGAGCAAGACTCCTCTTGTGGGGGGTGGGATATTAATCCTAAATGCCTTATTCATTTTTGTTAAATATTATTATTTTTATTTATCATTATGTGTCTTCCCATTATAAAATAAACAGCATTTATCATTGTTTATTGCAGAGGCAATGTCTGTCTTTTCCATTGCAAGTTTCTCCAAGTCTCTGAAACAGTAAGTATTTCAACACCTACTGTACTGAAATTCACAGTTTGCAATTCAATAAATATTGATTGAATAAATGAATAAAGAAATGCAAATGTAGTTTTCATTACTGGCTACTTATAATAACAGACCATTCTAGGCTGGGCGTGGTGACTCACACCTATAATCCCAGCACTTTGGAAGGCTGACGGGGGTGGATCACCTGCGGTCAGGAGTTCGAGACCAGTCTGACTAATATAGTGAAACCCCGTTTCTACTAAAAATACAAAAATTAGCCGGGTGTCGGGGAGTGCGACTGTAGTCCCAGCTACTCGGGAGGCTGAGACAGGAGAATCACTTGAACCCGGGAGGTGGAGTTTGCAGTGAGCCGAGATTGCCCCACTGTACTCCAGCCTGGGCAACAGAGCAAGACTCTGTCTCAAAAATAATAGTAATAATAATAATAACAGACCATTCTTGAGTGAGGTCAAGTTTGATCTTAGGTCTAGAAGCAGAGCCTGAGACAGGGATTTGGGTGTATCTGTTGACAGATTATTCACCAAAGAAACCTTTAAGAGGCTGAGGGCAGCAGGACAGGGAAGGTCCAGGAGTCAAGCAAAGATAGTGCTTCAGATAAAGCCCAGTGTTGGCCTGACCCAAAGGGTTTCTGGAGCCTAAATCACATGCAGAGTTTGTTCCACCCTGAGATGAGATGCCAGATATTTTAACTCCATATCAGTCAGTTTTTGCTGCAAGCTGAGGTGTGGAGAATATAACCTCTAGGAGAGTCAGTTTCCATTCGACAGAGGGCAATTTCTGGAAAAGTGAGCCATTGTGAGCCATGAGCAGCGACCACTCAAAGCAGCTAGAGGACAGACGGGTGCTTGGACTGCAGGAAATCCAGACAGGACACCCAACAGTGTCCACTACACCAAGGCAACCATTTCCTAGTTTTATTCATATAAAAAAAAGGTTAATTCATAAATGTACTCATTGTTCTCCCTAGCTATTGACTTCAAAGGTCCTCATTCCTTATCTAAATACATACATGTGCTGAAAGGTAAACAGACAAATTTGTTGTTTCTCCTAATTAATAAAAGTTGGCACAATATTATCTGAACCAAATGTTTGCGCTTCCTTTAAAAAACATACTCAAGACATAGCAGAATAAATCGAATAAAAAAAAAGGTTAAATTTGGGCTGGGCGTGGTGGCTCATGCCTGTAATCCTATTACGCTTTGGGAGGCCAAGGTGGGCAGATCTCTTGAGCCTAGGAGTTTGAGACCTGCCTGGAAACCCAATCTCTAAAAAAATGCAAAAATTAGCCAGGCATGGTGGTGCATGCCTGTAATCCCAGCTACTCGCTCGGGAAGTTGAGGTGGGAGGATCGCCTGAGCGAAGTCGAAGCTGCGGTGAGCCATGATCCCACCACTGCACTCCAGCCTAAGCAACCAAGTGAGACTTTGTCTCAAAAAAAAAAAAAAAAAAAAGTTTAAATCTAACTTAATTTAGTTTAACTGTTGGCAAAGAATGAAATAATACTCATACTGTTCTCAAGTACACATTTTACTGAATTAGACTTTGTTCCTGGATTACAATTGTGTGTGGGTGTTTGTGCTTGAACTTTAATATATGTCCATGTTTCTTGTTTGAAGCTTCTGAAATATCAGCTACTAGTTTCAAAACTCTCCCTTCTTTGGAGGCAGTTAGCATAACTACAAATCCAAACTAGAGATGACTGATAATTAAAGGGGAATCTAAAGATTGAATAACTAAACCTCTAAGTTTGTAGTTGTGAAACTGAGGCTGAGAGAAGGAAAACAATTTAGCAAAGGCTGTCCATCTCTCTTTTTTTTTTTTTTAAGATGGAGTTTCACTCTATCGCCCAGGCTGGAGTGCAGTGGCACGATCTCGGCTCCCTGCAGCCTCTGCCTCCTGGGTTCAAGTGATTCTCCTGCCTCAGCCTCCCAAGTAGCTAGGACTACAGGTGCATGCCACCAGGCCTGGCTATTTTTTTTTGTATTTTTAGTAGATACAGGGTTTCGCCATGTTGGCCAGGCTGGTCTCGAATTCTTGACATCAGGGGATCCGCCTGCTTCAGCCTCCCAAAGTGCTGGGATTACAGGCGTGAGCCACTGTACCCAGCCTGCCCATCTCGATAGCGGTAGAAACAGGGCTTAGGTCCCCGTCCCTTGGCTCTCCTTCTAAGCTCTTGCAATGACTGCCTCCTGATTCCCCCAAAGGCACATTAAATCATTGAGATGTGTTGAGCTTGGAGTCAAACTTACTGTTTTTTTAAAATAGCCCTGACACTTTTTCCCAATGACAATTAACTCTGTAAAAAACAAAAACCCTTAGGGAATTAAAATTTTCTGTAAACTCACTACAATGAATTCAAGTGTGAAGAGGGAAAAAGACTAGTATGGGTTAGACTTGGGTGTTTCCTTGAGACCTCAGCATTTTGGATTATTCGAGAAATGCCTTAGAGGCTTAGCTTTCCTCTGTATGGTTGTCCTTGGAATTGTCACCAAGCTCAAGGAGGAAACGGGGTTCACACTAATTGTTTTCAACAACTTTCCAGGGGGACTAGAGCTTGTTCTCTGTGGACAGGTTTTAAGATCCCAGCCCTTCTGCATCTCCACCCTAAGGAAGCCAGCTAAGACAGGTTACCCCAGGGAACAGGGGGAATCTCAAGGCAAGACATCTACACAGAAGGGTAATTACAGTCTTCAGACAGAATGGGGTTATGCTTAATTAATAGAGTTGGTTTTTTCCCAAGGAGCCAACACTTGCATCAGTTTTTCTGTGGATAAGATGGAAGAAAGCAGACATTTCTGAGTCTAGCAGGGGACTCTGAAGTCTTTCTTGGGCCTATAATTTTAAAAGAAGCTGTGTGGCTAAATGCAAATGAATGAGCTCAGCCTTATTGAGCTCTGACCCCTGATCTGGCATTTACTTAGTATGGGGGAAAGAAAAAGAAGCTACCATTTTTCTAGAATTTTTCACGTCCCTGGCATCTTGGTGGCTACTTTACCTTTGTCATCTTATCTGATCCCTACACCAATGCTGTAAGGTATGAGAATCTTTATTTTATAGACAAAAAAAGAGGCATAGAGGGAGGTGACAAGCCAAGGCCACAGAGCCGGTCAGTGAGTCAAACCCAAGGCAGCAAGGGTTTAGTTGCTCACTTTCCTTCTAACATAACCAAGAGGCATCCCCTAGGGTTTTCTTTTCTTCCAGCTCTTGTAAGTCTCTCGGTAAAACAAGGAAAATATTTGGTATGGCCAAAGTGGAATTCTACTCTGTTTTTTTTTTTTTTTTTTTTTTTTTTTTTGCTAAAAGGCATAAACCCACATTTGTTTTCTTCTGTCCTGAGCAAAATAGGCTCCATCCTTGGCATTTCAGCCAAAAGCCATCTTTTGGGGGGAATTTCTCCTTCCCCAGCATGCAAGGTTCCTCTACTCTTTTTTTTTTTAATTTTGAATTTCTGTGGGTACATAGTAGGTGTATATATTTATGGGATACGTGAGAGATTTTGCTACAGACATGCAATGCATAATTACTGCATCATGGAAAATGGGGTATCCATTTCCTCAAGCATTTATTATTTGTCTTACAAATAATCCAATTATACTACCTTAGTTATTTTAAAATGTACAATTAAAGGCCAGGCACGGTGGTTCACGCCTGTAATCTCAGCACTTTGGGAGGCCGAGGCTGGTGGATCACCTGAGGTCAGGAGTTTGAAAACAGCCTGGCCAACATGGTGAAACCCCATCTCTACTAAAAATACAAAAAATTAGCTGGTCATGGTGGCAGGTGTCTGTAGTCCCAGCTAATCAGGAGGCTGAGGCAGGAGAATCACTTGAACCTGGAGGTAGAGGTTGCAGTGAGCCGAGATTGTGTCACTGCACTCCAGCCTGGGTGACAGAGTGACACTCGGTCTCAAAAAAAAAAAAAAAAAAAAAAAGGCCAGGTACAGTGGCTCACACCTGTAATCCCAGCACTTTGGGAGGTCGAGGAAGGCAGATCATGAGGTCAGGAGTTCGAGATCAGCCTGGCCAATATGGTGAAACCCCGTCTCTACTAAAAATCCAAAAAAAAAAAAAAAAAAAAAAAAGAAAAAGTTAGCAGGGTGTAGTGGCACGTGCCTTTAATCCCAGCTACTTGGGAGACTGAGGCAGAAGAATCACTTGAACCCGAGAGGCAGAGATTGCAGTGAGCTGAGATCACGCCACTGCACTACAGCCTGGATGACAGAGTGAGACTCCTTAAAAAAAAACAAACAAACAAACAAAAAAAACAAAGTACAATTATTTTGACTATAGTCACTGTTGTGCTATCAAATACTAGGTCTTTTTCATTCTTTCTATTCTTTTTGTACTGAACCCTGAACTCTTAAACCCTCACATCATTCTATCCTTACAAATTCTATATTTGTTTGAGGCCCACTCTGAATGTTAAGGGGGTAGCATCTAACGAAGGCTCAATAAATTCTGGCTGCTGGGAATTCAGACTGGACCCAAGCAAGACAGAGACACAGTGAGACAGCAGATTTCTCACTGAATTAAGCTGTTCTGGGATGCTCCTTCCTCCTGCAGCCACTGTAGTCAAGGGACACATTCATATCTCAGAAAGGAAGAGGCAGACAGGCCCAAAGCTCAGATGCAAGGCCCAAGACATATTTGCTGAGTTTCTACACTACTCCCAGGCAGTAAAACTTTCTGCTCTCCCATTCTTGATGCTGCCTGGAAACCCCCTAGCCCAGAATCCCTCTTACATCTCAAATGTATAGCTCTCCATTCCCTTTTCCTGGAGAGGCTAGGCTTCGTGACTGATGAGAAAACACTCCCCATATTCTCTTCAAATTAAATTAAATTAATAGCATTTGGTACTTATCAACCCCTTTCTCCCACCCTCGCCTCTTTTTTACATATCATGTTATTAAATTCCCTTGCTATCCTTAAATTACTCATTTTATATATGCACTCATTTTATTTATTGATTGTTTTTTTGTGGTGGGGGTACTGAGTCTCACTCTTGTCGCCCAGGCAGGAGTGCAATGGCACAATCTCTGCTCACTGCTACCTCCGCCTCCCGGGTTCAAGCGATTCTCCTGCCTCAGCCTCCCAAGTAGCTAGGATTACAGGTGCCTACTACCATGCCCAGCTTATATATATATATATATATATATATATATATATATACACACACACACACACACACACACACATATATACATATATACAGACATATATACACACATATATACATATATACAAACATATATATGCATATATATACACACATATATATACACACACATATATATATGTCGTTTATTTTTTTGAGACGGAGTCTCAGTCTGTCTCCTAGGCTGGTGTGATCTCAGCTCACTGCAACCTCCACCTCCCGGGTTCAAGTGATTCTCCTGTCTCAGCCTCTTGAGTAGCTGGGACTACAGGCACGTGCCACCACACCTGGCTAATTTTTTGTATTTTTAGTAGAGATGGGGTTTCACCATATTGGCCAAGCTGGTCTCGAACTCCCAACCTTGTGATCCACCTGCCTTGGCCTCCCAAAGTGCTGGGATTACAGGCCTGAGCCACCGTGCCCAGCCCTAATTTTTATATTTTAGTAAAGATGGGGTTTCACCATGTTGGCCAGGCTGTTCTCAAACTCCTGACCTCAGGTGATCCACCCGCCTCGGCCTCCCAAAGTGCTGGGATTACAGGCATGAGCCACTGTGCCTGGCACACTCATTTTATATATGGGGAAAATGAGGATTGCTAAGATTAAGTGATGTGTTGAAATATACACCTTAACAAGGGCAGGGACTCAAACGTCGGAACTTACGTTTTCCTCACCTAGGAAGCAAAGACCATATCTTATGCACTAACCTACTTAGTGCTTCATAAAGAGCAGTAGCTCTTTTTGAATGGAATGAAAGCCTTTCCTAATGATAAAAGCCAGCAGCACAAATCACATACGAGACACCCAGAGAAGCAACTCAACAGGGAGGGGACATGGACCAGATGGACCAGGGCTTTGCTGCATCCACTTTCTGTATTTTTACTGATAACCTACTAGGGTCAGTAAATCTCTCACCAATAATTTAAAAATAAGAACTTCAGGCTGGGCACCGTGGCTCACACCTGTAATCCCAGCACTTTGGGAGGCCGAGGTGGGAGGAACACGAGGTCTGGAGTTCAAGACCAGCTTGACCAACGTGGTGAAACCCCATCTCTACTAAAAAAATACAAAAATTATCTGGGTGTAGTGGCGCACACTTGTAATCCCAACTACTCAGGAGACTAAGGCAGGAGAATTGCTTAAACCTGGGAGGCGGAGGTTGCAGTGAGCCAAGATCGTGCCACTGCCCTCCAGCCTGGGCGACAGAGCGAGACTCCATCTCAAAAAAAAAAAAAAAAAGAACTTCAAATTTCAACAG
Source organism: Homo sapiens (assembly GCF_000001405.40). Lineage (NCBI taxonomy): Eukaryota > Metazoa > Chordata > Mammalia > Primates > Hominidae > Homo > Homo sapiens. The sequence goes on along the minus strand of NC_000009.12, from coordinate 104,994,500 downwards.
GACCATAAACTTTATCTGTGAGCTTAAGGTAGGGAAATTGCTATCCTAAAATATTTGCATCTCACACTGAAATTCTTCCCTTCCATATACTTTGATATTCTTATTCCTTTATTCAACCATTTGGGAAATAGTGATTGAGTGTTTACTATGTGTCAGGCACAATTCCAGGCACTTTATCGACCGTCATTCTCTGCCTTCATTCATTCATTCCTCTATAAAGTCACTCATTATTTAACTGTGTGTAAGGCCTGGAATTTTCCTTGTTCTACATTTTTATTGAAATTTCTCTGGGATAATTAGGGAAGAAAGGAAGAAACCTAGGGACAATTTTCCCAGCCAGCTGCAAGAACCTGTCCTATTGGGGTGTTGGGTTTAAATGCCTAGAGCAGGAAAGGAGCTGAGTCTCAGCCATGCGTTTTACTGGTTGGGTGATGTGGGGAAATCACTTACCTCCTCAGAGCCTCAGTTTCATACTCTCCAAAACGGGGGTCACACACTTACTGCATAGGGCTGTGGAGGATCATATGGGAGGGAATTCAACTACAAGTGTCAGCACAGGGCCCGGCATGGCCAAAGCTCTCAACCCTCCACGCGGTGCTGATGTAAGTTACCAAGCAGCCTTCTTCCTGCCAACACCAGCAGGCAGGCAGCTCACACAGGCATCTTGACAGCATCAGGCAGCACATGATCTCCCCTGGTCACCTCAGGAAGGCTTCAAGGCAGGGTTACATTCGGGCAAAGCGAGCCCAATTGCAGCCTTTGTCTTTATCAGCCTGAGCAGCAACACAGTCTTGGGGGACAGGGCAGTGACATTCCAATTCTCTGACGGCACACTCAAGGGAGGGGATTCTTGGAAAGAAATGAGGGTAGCGGGGGCAGACCCACTTTGCTGCAGCTTTTTCTGCTTCCCTTGCATTTCCCTTTTGGGGAATTTCCATTTGCATCTCCCTCTGTTTCCAAAGCCTCCTAGGAGAGGAGGAGAGCTGCTTCTGTTTTCTGGCCTTTGTGATTCTGAAGAGCAGCTGAGGCACCAAGGGGTTGGTGGGGTGGGAGGAGTTATGACTGCGTTCCGGTGCCCCTCCCTGGGTGATCTACTTCTTGTGTCACAGGAAACCCTGACAGGGTAGGGGGATTACATGGCTTCTACCATGCATGGAGATGGGCAAACATCCAGACATCTAGGATTGTTATGAGTGAATTTTTGTGCTCCCTTCCACCCAGTTCATAGGTTGAATGCCTAACCTCCAGTATGATGATTAGGAGGTGGGTCCTTTGGGAGGTAATTTGGTTTAGATGAGGTCATAAGGGTGGAGACCCCACGATGGGATTCATGCCTTATAAGAAGAGACTCTAGAGAGAAGTCTCTAAGAGCGTACAGTGATAAGATGGCTGTTTGCAAGCCAGAAAGTGGGGCCTCAACAGGAATCAAATCAGCCTGCACCTTGATTTTGTTCTTCCAGCATCCAGAATTATGAGAAATAAATGTCTGTTGTTTAAGTACCCAGCACGAGAAGACTAAGACAAATACTCAGAGCAGAATTTTCAAGAGAAGCAAAGCATTCCTGTCCTTTGAAGTTCCCATCTGTTTCCCAGCTATATAAACACCGCAGAGTGCATGATAAGTATGTTTGCTGCGTGAATGCAAGAACCCTCCTCTGGGAAAAGTCACAAACAAGCTACTTCACCCATTGCCTGACACAAAGGCAGCTTCCCCCTTGAATAATCTGGGATTGAAAATGAGTTCATTCAGCTATAAGCTCACCGAACGAACACCAAATTCAGCAACTGTGAGCAGTGCACTCTGTCCCTGCCCTTAATAAGTGAACAACCCAACTGTCTTCTAGAAGGGTTGATCACTTTGTAATTTTGTAATGGAAACCCTCAAAGGAGACCTCCAATAATGAGAACTTCTTTGTCTTTAGCATGGCCTGGGCCACTCACCCCATAGAGCATGAAGCTCTCATAGGTCTTCAGATTGGCGATGGGAGAACGTGACTTTGAGCTTTCAGCTTTTTATCTCTCTAAAATAGGACAGAAAATTTCAGCTCTGATATTCTCTGTGGGATTCCAGAACAACTTCCTTGAGTCTCAGTTTCCCCATCTGCAAAAAGAAAATAGTCACAGCACCTACTACCTCATAGGTTTCTGATAAGGATGGAATGAGTAATGCCTATGAGAGTGCCTTGCCAAATGTGCTACAGGTGTCGTTTGTGTGTTTTAGGGCCAAAAACCCACTTTGAAGCACGGACCCTTCATGGAAATTGCCCTTAACTGATTGGATGACCGTGGGCCAATTAAATGAACTCACAGGGCCTCAGTTTCCTCTTCCATGAGGGGTCATTTTGAGGTCTTTCAAAGGGTTGTGAGAATCAAAAGAAGGGCGCCCAGCACCACGCCCGCCGCGCACACACATGGCGTTCAGTAAGTGGTTCTCTCCCCTGCACCGCGTCTAGACCTCGTTTCTCCACAGAGAGTGGGTGGCAGGAATTTTCCAAATCGGCTCGATGTCCCCACTCCATCGCTTCATGCACTGGCCCAGGACACACCCATAGTTTGGCGAAGTGCAGACTTGGAGAAACTTGGGGGAGAACGGAACCCAAGGCCCAGCCCCGCGCACGCGCGCCGCAGCCTTCGCCCAGAGCAGCGTCTGCTAGTTACCTTTCACCTACTTCGCTGCGACTCGCCGCGCGGGGTAACTCGAGGTCAGACTCGGGGCCCCGCGCGCTTGCGCGCCGCCCGCTGCCCGCCGCCCGCCGCGGCTGGGAGTCCGGAGGTTTCATCTTGTGATGGTTTCGGTTCGGCTCTCAAATGGAGGGTGTGAGCTTTGCAGACGTGCCCTAATTCTGGGTCTGGCGGGGCGACATTGGGCCCTCTGAGCTGCCACCCTGGCCCTGACGCCCCATTACTCCTCGTTCCTTCCTCCCCCCATCTGTTGTCACGCTCTCCCTTTTCCCACAGCTGGCCCCTATTCAGCTGTGCCGATTGCCCCACATCCCTTCTTCCTGCAAAAGGCAGATGGGAAGGGAGCTCTGTCTGGCCTATTCCGGACAGAGCTCCGGGCTTCCGAGTGGAGCATGAGCCCGCGGAAGAGCCACGTGGGTGCAAACTAAATGTTCCCATTCTTGCTGGGGAGGGGCCGGACTTAAAGACCAGGTTTCAAATGAGAAGGCGCACATTTTCTGGTTTTTGTCTTCCAGATGGCTACGTTGAAGACAGCTGGGGCTGCCGCACGCCTCGGGGTTACTGTCGGGCACCCGGCGGGCGGGGCCGGCGCTGGGGCGGGGGAGGGCTTCCTCGCCCTCAGAAACCACATTCGCAGAAACGTTTTTAACTGGCAAGGTTTCGAGTTCCCAACCACAGCACCCTCAGTGATGGTTTTCAGAAGACCTTGTTAGCTCCTCTCCTCCAGAGACCCATCCTTCGCTGACATCCCACCGATTTGGGAGCAGGAAAAAACAGACTCCTGCAAAATACCTCTTCTTCCAGTGCCCTGTACCCCTCTCTACTTACTTCGAGTCCCTGCAGTCCAGCAACAACCCCAAACGAGTGAAGGGAGGAGACATAGGTTTGTCCAGGCTCTGCCACCGACGGGTGATTTGGGATGAGTCCTTCTCCAGTATCATTATCTTCAACTGTAAAACATGAGGGTTAGTCCGAATGATCTCCAAACGCTTCAGCATTAAAGTTAGGTGATGAATCCTAAGATTTTGCAGTTCTATAATGTCACATCTCCTCCGTTTCAGAGAGGGCCCGCAGGGAATCTTGTTAAGGATAACTGCCATCGAAGTTACAAGTTTGTTCTGTGATTGAAGAGTTTCAGGTCTTCTAGATTTCTTTGGCATGACGCATAACTATTTCAAGATACTAACATTTGGGCAGGGCGTGGTGGCTCAGGCCTGTAGTCCTAACACTTTGGGGGGCCGAGGCGGGCAGATCACCTGAGGGTAGGAGTTAGAGACCAGTCTGGCCAACATGGTGAAACCCCGTCTCTACTAAAAATACAAAAATTAGCCGGGCGTGGCGGTACATGCCTGTAATCCCAGCTACTCAGGAGGCTAAGGCAGAAGAATCGCTTGAATCCAGGAGGCGGAGGTTGCAGTGAGCTGAGATCACGCCACTGCACCCCAGCCTGGGCAACAGAGGGAGACTCCTTCTGAAAAAAAAAAAAAAAAAAAGATACTAACATTTAAGGTTAAGAATGTAGGTCATTTCCCCAGAGGACTAACAGACTCGAGGGCACACACCCCAAATTTTATTTCTTTGACTCTGTCATTGCCCCCAGAACAGTATATAATGTAGCCAATTGTTGTGGATTTATTGTTAATGAATAAAATAAAATTTGTGACTAGCAGGGATAGGGGTCCTATGCTGTCATTTTAATATGAATAGAGTTTTTAAAAACTCACAGATAAATGTATCACATGAGAAAAAAATACAAAGGCTGAACATAGAGCAGCAATGTTAATCTGATAAATCGTAAATAAGTGTATACATTTTAATAGAGATTAGTACAAAGACCTGTAATTAGTTTTTAAAAAAACTACCAACATCATTACAAGGACAATGGAAATAATGTACCAATAAATATGGAGCTTCCTTATATTTCTACCTTATGTAATCCTCACGATGATGCTGTGAGTTAAGTCAATACACAATTATGGTTTCCATTTTACAGAGGAAGAAACTGCAGCTTAGAGAAGTTGAGCATCTTTCTCAAGGTCATGCAGCTAGCATGTGATAGAACTGAATCCAGCCAGGCGTGGTGGCTCATGCCTGTAATCCCAGCACTTTGGGAGGCTGAGGCGGGCAGATTGCCTGAAGTCAGGAGTTCGAGACCAGCCTGGCTAACATGGTGAAACCCCATCTCTACTAAAAATACAAAAAAATTTAGCCAGGCGTGATGGCACATGCCTGTAGTCCCAGCTATTTGGGAGGCTGAGGCAGGAGAATCACTTGAACCCACGAAGTGGAGGTTGCAGTGAGCTGAGATTGCACCACCGCATTCCTGCCTGGGTGACAGAGCAAGATTCTGTCTCAAAACAAACAAACAAACAAACAAACAGAAAAACTGAATCCAGGGTTCCTAAGGCCAGATTTTCTGCTTTAGGAGAGTGCGTTTCAGTAATGGGTTTGTGTGTGTATGTGTTGGGAGTGGGGGAAGATGGGGAAGTGGAGAGATCAAATTTGTTTGGAAGTGGGAGAAGAGATGGACATTTGTAAGTATTACTATTACATCTAATGTTTGTTGAACTTTACAATGTTCCAGATACTGGGTTAGCATTATGCATGCATTAATTCATTTAATTCTTCTAACAGTTTTATGAGATAAATAGTATTGTTGTCTCTTTTAGTGCAATCAACAATACCCTTGATTAAATAAGAGAGCTGAGTTGCCTAAATTCTCATAAGAAGTGGTGAAGCAAGGATCCACCCTGGGATTGATGCCGGAACTTAAGGGGGACCTTTGTTTTAGGGGTTTCCACTGGCTGAAAGCCAGGAAAGAATCAGCAATGCAATTTGGGTTCAAGGAGCCAAAGGCACCTCAGATTTCATAACTAGAAATCCAGAGTAAAGAATATAGTGGGTGGTTTTGCTCTCCTGTGTTCTGGTCAGATCCCACCTGGAAGGCTGGGCTCAGGTCTGGGCATGGTGTACGAAGACATCTACATTAAGATGGCAGCCAGGAGAAACAGCTTGGGGTTGTCCAAGATGCAATTGGCTCCCTCAGGGAGGAGTTGCATTTGTTTCCTCTAATCTCTGTCATCACCTTGGGATATTTCAGATTCATAAGGCCAAGCATAACATATGAGGCAGTGTGGTGTAATGAAAGCAGTGAGGGATTTGGTGTCAGACTGACGTGGTCCCATGGTCTTGACTCTGTTCACCCCTTCCCAACTAGATGACCTTGAGTGTACTCTTTAATTTCTCTGGTTCTCAGTGTTCCTAGTTATAAAATTGGGGGGAATCAGACCTACCTTGCAGTATTGCTGTGAGAACTAATTGAGATAATGTGTGTTTAATAACCGCCCTTGGCCGGGTGCAGTGGCTCATGCCTGTAATGCCAACACTTTGGGAGGTGGAGGCGGGCGGATTATTTGAGGTCAGGAGTTCAAGACCAACTTGGCCAACACAGCAAAACCCCGTTTCTACTAAAAATACAAAAATTAGCCTGGCATAGTGGCTCATGCCTGTAATCCCAGCCACTCAGGAGGCTGAGGCACGAGGCTCGCTTGAACCCAGGAGGTGGAGGTTGCAGTGAGCCAAGATCGTGTGCCACTTCACTCCAGCCTGGGCAACAGAATGAGACTCTATCTCCAAGAAAAAAAAAAATCCTCTTCTCTTTTCCATCTACATACAAACACAAATGAGAATGAGTTTAATTTCTGGCCAATAATTTAAAGAAGTCCTTAAAAAGATAATTTTTTAATCTTTAGCAAGGTTTTTGAGTGACAGACGTAGTGGTCTTTAAAAGTTTAGCCAGGTTTTTCTTTTTTCTTTCTTTTTTTTTGGAGACAAGGTCTTGCTCTGTTGCCCAGGCTGTTGCTCAGTGTTGCAATCATGACTCACTGCAACCTCAACCACCTGGGCTCAAGTAATCCTCCTGTCTCAGCCTTCTGAGTAGCTGGGACCACAGGTGCATGCCACTGCACCTAATTTTTTAATTTTTGTAGAGATAGGGTCTCAATACATTGCTCAGGCTGGTCTTGACCTCCTGACCTCAAATGATTCTCCCACCTCAGCCTCCCAAAGTGTTGGGATTACAGGTGTAAGCCACTGCACCCAGCTGGCCAGATTTTTAAACAGCTGGTTAGAGAGAACTTAATGGATTTTTCTGCATTATGGAACAAGAATTTGGAGTCTGGGGCAATCTGGAGTGAAGGCGTAAGGAGGAAAGATAGTAGGGGCTATGGTCTGAATGCATGTGTTTCCCCAAAATTAACATGTTTCAACTTAATCTCCAATGCAATAGTATTAAGACGTGGTCTTTGGGAAGTGTTTAGGTCATGGGGAGAGATCCCTTATGAATGGGATTAGTGCCCTTATAAAAAGGACTAAGGGAGCTTATTTGTCCCTTCCACCTTGTTAGGATACAGTGAGAAGGTACCATCTATGAATCAGAAAGTGGGCCCTCATCTGAACATGACCATGCTGGCACCACGATCTTGGACTTCTCAGCCCCCAGAACTGTGAGCAACAAATTTCTATTGTTTATAAATTACCCAGCATAAGATATTTTGGTATGGCAGCCTGAATGGACTGAGACACTAGGAAAAAGGAAGAGAGAGAAAGATTAAGGAATTCAGCAGGAGGCCAGATCTTAAAATGTGGACCTGGTCCAAGGCCTTAAAGAATAGAGATGACTGATACTGAATTTAAAATTGATTGGGTTCTGGGAGGCGGAGATTGTGGTGAGCCGAGATCTCACCATTGCATTCCAGCCTGGGCAACAAGAGCGAAACTCCATCTCAAAAAATATATATAAATAAATAAAATAAAATTGACGGTTTTTTTGTAATGTAAAACCTCCTTTTTTCCAAACTTTAATAAATGTCACTACATACGTGAACGCCTCTATAAGTTTCCTGTGAGTATTAATTTGAGTTAAACATCTGTGAGATACAATGTGGACTACAGCAAAACAATCCCTTACGAGAATAATTCTGAAGAAGCTGGTGTTGGGAGCCTGAGCTAATCAAGAAATATAAGGAACCCTTTGGAATTCAAAGAAGGCTTGGGAAGATTATTTGGTTTACCATAATCCATAGAAAAGGAGGTCTTAACCACTTATTTCCATCTGAGGGGTCAGGATAACTCCAGCTGGCATCTGAATTTCAGATGTAAAGAACCTAGCATAGAGTAGGCACTTCAAAAAGTGGAATTTAAACAATTTAATTGATTGAATCCTTATGGAGTTTTTTTTATGCCAGAACAATTCTAAGCACTTTACATATACAACACTTTTAATCCTCATTATAACTCTATATGTAATATTATTACCCCACTTGAAAAATGCATACACTGAGTCACAGAGAACGTACCACAGTTAGCAAGTGGTGATACCAAAGTTCAAATACAGGCACATGTATATTCTAACTAATAACTATTGTGGTCTCTGCAACTATAGCTGGCGTTACTCTGCACTGCCAAGCTGATGCAAGACTCCCTGTCCTCTGGGTGTAGGCACAATTTTAAGCTTATTGACCACCGACTGTGGAAGAGGTTCCAACAGGCCAGGAAGTTATCAGGAGGGGAGGAAGTGGAGAAGTAGCTTCAAGCCTGGAGGCTTTCTGCCCATGGAGCATGTCCAGTGTGGCCAAGGAAGACATTGTCTTCCCTGGCTGTTTGTTCTCTAAGCTAGAAATTATCTTAAGGAGATAGTAATGTGCAAAAAGTGATTGCTTTCCTGGCTGAGATGTCCTGAGGGGGATGGAAGTAAACAGACTTTGAAGGGATGGGATACTTAGGATGGCTGGAAGGCAGCCCAGGAGCTCTAAGGGGATACAAGAGAGGGCACTGCAAGGGGACAGTGATGTCACCAGGACACCGCGTCCCCCAAAGCCAAGGGAAGCAGTAGCTTAGTGGCTCATAGGACTGTGCCACCCTTTTCCACTCCTAGCACTCACCCTCCAGGCAACCTCAGGTGGCCTCTTCAGGCCTTTGAGAGATGCCAAGGATCATGGAATTGGCTTGGAGGGAAAAACATTATGGAAATCTAGGAGATGCTTGGCAGAGATGCCCCCCGCCCCTCCCCCCACCAAAAAAAAAAAAAAAAAAAAAAGAAAGCTGTTTGTGGGAACTGTGGCCATAGATTGCCATTTGTTGGAAGACCCAAAGAAAGCTAGTATAGTAAAACAGACCCAAGTTTGGAGACTGTTGTTAATTAATTTCTGTAAGCCTCACTTATCTCAAGTATAAAATGAGGATAATGACACCTACCTCACAGGGCTATTTATAAGATAAAATCAGAGAATGCAGGTGAGGATGCTTTGAAACTATAAATACACCACAGAAATGTTATTTGCATTGCTGAGAGAAACAGTGTTTGGAACATTGTTCATAATCAATCAACTCAATTTCCAGCTACATTTTGGTAGTCAAAATCCAGTCCCACCCCCAAATAGAAATCAGTGTCCCCTCATCAAAACTGAAAAGAAAAACACTTCGATTTGTGATTGGTTTGCATCAGCTTATTCCCAACAGATATTCCATAATTTTTTACACTGGATCTTTCCCCTCTGCTGCTAGCTACAAAGAGAGATTAGATGAGCCATCTGGCTGATAGGGAAAGTGCTTTCTCATCTTTTAAAGTATCTTCCTCATCCATCAAAGGGCTCAGCGTGATTGGATGCTTCTCTCATTTGCTCCCTCTTTTCTTCCTCTGGCAAGTCTCTGTGCCTTTCAAATTGTAAATAATTTCCCAGACACAGATTACCTTCTCTTGGGCCCTCCTGCACCCACCCCATCAACTGTCCCTTAGCTACTGATGCATTTTTCCTCTCACATTCTGGCACCCCCAAGCTTCCAAATAAAGATATTTAATAGCTATTCCTGCTCTGTAACAAGAAATCAATATACTAAAGGAAAATATAGATTTGGGGATGGAACAAAAAGGTTCTAGGAAGCAGAACATCTGTCGCCTTCATAAATTGTTCCAAAGCTTCTCATAAATGAGACAGTAAGTTCAGAGTTTCCCCTTTGATCTCTTTCACTTCATAGACATTAAAGGTAAAGGGCTATGACTCTTTGTTTTGTACTCATTTGCTAGATTCAGTTACCAAATACGTTTATGAGAAATATAGGAATTAAAAAACCTACAACTGGGAAACATCAGTCATGAATGCAGTGTCATTAAGAGGCAAGTTAATTATAATCAGAGTGTAAAAACAGTGGGCCTGAGGAAGAGAGATTATCCTTTTTAAAGTTGATATAAATGAAGTCTACAAACTGATAAACACTCAAAGCAGTCAATGTAGGTTATTTTATTCTCAAACCTGCTGCGGCTTGGACTTTTACCAAGTCCACTCTTCCATCCATAACCAGGATTTAATAATAGCTGTAATTATTAAATATTTATTCTGAGCATTGGGCTAGCATCTTATGTACTTTATCTCTTTCAATCTTCATAATAATATCTCGTGAAGTGGCAGCCTTGAAGATGAGGAAGTGGAGGCGATGGGCTGTTAGCCACTTTGCCCAAACTCCCCATTCTGATAAGCAGCAGGGCTGGCATGTGAACTCAACTTGTCTAACTCCAAAGTTCAGGCTCCGAAGTATTATTTAGAGTTCCTTCCCTCATTTCTGACATCGTATCTTCATTCAAATTTCCCCTCCATTTTTGGTTTCTGTACTTCTCATTCTAATAAATTACTTTTATAAATATTGCTTTATTGAACAAAGCCAATAGTTGTAATTATAAGAAAAACAACAATATCAGTTATCATTGGAGGGTTTACTGAATGTCTGTCCCTGAGCTGGACCCTCACAAACACAGTTAAATTCAGGTTTGAGGAATCCTGTACTCACATCTATTCTTCATTATCATCAATGTGTCAAGAAATAAGGGAAGAAAAATGAGAGAAAAACAAAACAACACTGGACTGAGAATCAAAAGTCCTGGAATTCTTTACTTGCAAAATTAACAGCCACTTTCTGTTTACTTTACAAAGTAATTGTGAGGCTTAAATTAGATAATGCATTTAATCATGCTTTGTAAACTAGTCAGATCTCTACAAGATGTTATAGTGAGCTATGTCAGTATTTAGTGTGTGATCTTGGCAAGCCATCATCTCTGAAGCTCGGTTTCATCACGTGAAATGGGAATCATAGATCCTACCACTCAAGGTTGTTGTGAGGATTAAGGACTGCCTGGTCCACAGGGCAGGGTAATTGGATCTGTATTTCACTGATACTCTTTTAAAGTTTGTTTTCAAGACTGCTTTCTTTCCAAGTGCTTTTCTTTCGCTTGTTCCTAATTATTTTCTGGCAATTTCTTCCACTCTCATCCCTGAGTTGAAGCACTCAGCTTTCTGGCCACCTCTGCATTTGTTACAGGATGGAAAGTCTTGACTGTGAGTTGTCTAGGTTCTTGGCACATTGAACAAAGAATTGAACAAAATGCACAAAGCAACAAAAGAATGAAGCAATGAGAGAAGACAGAAACAATGAAAGTGCAGATTTATTGAAGTGAAAGTTCATACTCCACAGAGTGGGAGCAGGCTCCAGCAAGCGGCTCTAGAGCCCCAACTACAATGTTCTTCTACTTGAGATGGAGTCTCACTCTGTCATCCAGGATGGAGTGCAGTGGTGTGATCTCAGCTCACTGCAACATCCGCCTCCCAGTTTAAGTGATTCTCCTGCCTCAGCCTCTCGAGTAGCTGGGATCACAGGTGTGCACCACCACACCAGGCTAATTTCTGTTTTTTTATTGTTGTTGTTGTTGGTAGAGATGGGGTTTCACCATGTTGGCCAGGCTGGTCTCCAACTCCTGGCCTCAAGTGATCCGCCCACCTCAGCCTCCCAAGGAGCTGGGATTACAGGCATGAGCCACCAAGCACGGCAGGGTTGCCATGTTCTTTAGAGTTTTTATTAAACTAAAAGAATTTGGTAACACCCCTAGGTACCCTTTAGAGGCCTCCAACTGGTTACACCCTATGAAGACCTGGCCTGTGGCCAATCAGAGGCTGAAGTGGAGACTTGGCCTGTGGTCAATCCGAGGCTAAAGTGGAAACTTCTATCTTGTTATCGCAAGAGTGAGGATGTGGCCTGTATGCTGCCTAATCTTGCCTAGAACTGGCTGCACCTGCTGTTCTTTTGCCATTTGTAACATAACAAATATCTTAACCCTTGGTTACCCTAACTCCCTATTTTCCTGTCTCACATTCACTTCCTTAAGGAGCCAACTGGCACACAGAAGCCCAACCATCACTTTACCTACAAGACTCCCACGTCTCTAGTCTGTGCTACCAATCTCCCCAGTTTCTAACTTTTCTCTTTTCTGAGATCTTCTAGCCCCATACTTGGGATCTTGTTAAAATCCAGCTTCTGATTTAGCAGGGCTGGGGTTGAGCCTGATTTTGCAGTTCTAGCCAGCTTCCAGGTGATGTCCATGCTGCTGGCCAATGAATTACACTTGAGAAGCGAGCATCTAGCTTAACTGCTACACCAGAAATCACCTGACCAGCATCTCTCAGATCCTGTAATCTTCACAGCCTTTTACTGGATCTTTTCAAAGAGACTGTCATAGGCTCTTAACCGTCTGGACTTGTGTGACAGAAGCCACTAACCTTCTCCTGATTCTGTCTCTTTCTCAATGGTGATAAAGCCTCCTCTACCCCCATTTTTAGGTAGGCACTTGGCCATCCGGAATAAAACACAAAGTGTCCTCGTCTTCCGTCCAGCTAGGAATGGCCATGTGACTACACTCTAGATATAAGCAGAAAGAGTTTGTGATACTTTTGGAAAGTTTCCTTAAAGGGAGGGAATAGGCCATTTTTCTCTCCTTTTCTTCCTTCCTGTTGGTTGCAATGGGGTCATGGTGACTGAAGCTCAACAGTCATCTAAGGCCAAGAGGCGGGTGAGGCAAGCAGAGCAGTAGTGTGGAGCACACCTGGCTTCTCCAGACTTCTTTCACACGAGAGGGAAATACGAGGCTTTTCCACTTAAACCGCTGATATTTGGGGTTCTCCATGTCTCACAGTTTAATCCTAACTAATAGATGCTGCTCACTAATGAACTCCCCTCCATGTCTCTGTCCAGCAGAGCCAGCTCAAGCGTTCCACCCTAGCCTCTGAGGGGTATGACATTTCAGCACTCCCCCAGCCTCTACCTGAGTTCTTCCCTCAGCCCCAGGTTTTATCATTTTCTACGAAACTCTTTTCTCCTCCCAATCCCTGCCTCAATTGTCCTCTAGGAATCACCTGGTAGTTTTGTTTGAAATACAGACTAGAGTTTCTCTGGTCCTAGGCCTAGCAGGGGTCCAGCAATCTGCATTTATCTGGAGTGATTTTGATGCAGGTGGTTTGTGGACCAAATATTGAGAAACACTGCCCAAAGCTTTTTTTTTTTCTTTTTGGCTAATTTATAAAATTAGGAACTGTTTCAATCATACAGAAAAAAAAACAGAGTAGCATAACAAATACCTTAGTACCTACCACCTAGCTTTGTCAAATTTTACTTATTTTAAGTGTTGTAAGCTATGCCACACTACATGAATTAACAAAAATGTATCTATTGTTCTGTTGATGGACATTTGGTTTTTTTTTTTTTAAACCAAACTTTGGCTATTAAAGATAATGCTGGAATTAACATTCTTGAATGTAGCTCCTTGTGCACACTTGGGAACATTTAAAATATACTCCACCTGCAGCTTATGCTTGCATCACAATTATACAAGGCACTTTATATACGTTATTCGACTTTGAAATCTATTTTTTTTTTTTGAGACAGAGTCGTGCTCTGTCACCCAGGCTCAAGTGCAGTGGCGCGATCTTGGCTCACTGCAACCTCTGCCTCCTCGGTTCAAGTGATTCTTCTGCCTCAGCCTCCCAAGTAGCTGGGATTACAGGCATGTGCCACCCTGCCCAACTAATTTTGTATTTTTATCGACTTTGAAATTTTATAACAACCTTGAGAGAGGACACAGGAAAAGCCTTATGATCCTTATTTTCCAGGACAGTAAACAGCAGCTGAAAAACGTGAAGCGTATTTCTCAAATCAACCTGCAAGAAAATAGAAGAAGCAGAACCTGAAGCCAGGATTGTGGGGTCTGGGTCCTTTGCTTCTAGCCCAGCTCTTCTTCCTCTAATTGGTCTAATCACCAATCCACATGTTCTTTCTTGCACCAATGCATTCATGTGTCTTTATCTTCACATTTCAAACAACTAGTATGGTAGACATTGCTGGTTGCCTACCTAATATTTATTTGTCCTTTCTTCATTGTTAGCAGAGCTTTAGTTTTGTTTGGGATGGCAATATGCCTAGTTTTTATTTTTTAAAAAAGAAACATTACTCCCCATTTCCCACAGTGCTGGGCAGGAGTGGGAGTGGGGTGGAAGACTCTGTGACTCAGGTTTGCCACTGAAGCTACGAGAAAGTCTGCTGGGAAGTCACCAGAAAGTCTTGTTTTTCTGATGTCTGTGTTGTCGTCCCCTTCCTTCTTAGCGTGTTTCTGCTTCTTTTTGTCTGAAACAAGGATGAGAGGCTGGAGGTAGAGCCTCCACCTTGAATCATGAAACTGAGGCCACATGTGGAGTGGCCTGTCAAAGCAAATCAACAGGGTGTATCGGTTTGTTAGGGCTGCTGTAATAAAATACCACAGACTGAGTGGCATAAACGACTCACAGTTCATGGAAGTCCAAGATTGAGGTGTGGGGAAGTTTGGGCAGCCAAATACAATCCCTAACTGATACAAATAATTTCACTTCATTCATTTGTGTTTGCTCCTCTCTTTCTTTGAGTCCTTTATGGACTGGGGCCGTCTCTTGAGTTAGATCAGGTTCTTGGACTATGCTGGTCTGTATGTAGGTAATGATAGGTAAGTGTTTTGGGCTAATTAACTAAAATTTCATCTTTAAGCTGGCAAATTCCAGGCAATTTGCGGCCCTCCCAAATCCATTAAGTTGAATGATTCTGATTCTCTCCCACAAGATCATCTAATTTTTACTTTAATCTGACTTTCAAAAAGTTTCTCTGGCTAAGAATGCAAGTGAGTTATCATATGTGAAATAATGATTTAAACATTGCCTTCATAAACTTAGACCTTTGTGTGTGTAAGTTTTAAGTAGTAACATAAGCCGTAACATTGAAAGTAAGATCCAATAAAATAATCATTTATTTCTTTGAAAATTAGGGTTCATTTCTAAGGCTGGAAATTCAAATGATACAGAAAGAGGTTTTGACAGTTCTGCTGAAATGTATCTAGAGAAACTTCTGTTTTGAATAAAGTGAATTATTGTTCATCGATATTTCACTTGAACCCTGTCAGCATCCTCTTGATAACTGCATACTTCTTTTTATGCTTGTCTTCAGGAATGCTGAGCTAACTCACAGTAGGGCTTTGTTGAAATACTAATAATATGATTGGCATGCATTTTGTAAATATAAAGTACTAACCAGATGCACAAAACAATAATATGGCACTATCTAGGCAAAAACATGCTGTCTGATGCAACCCTGGAAGAGGCATTAAAGTATTATAAAAATAGTCATCTAGCTATGTTCAATGTACAGTCAAAGTTAAAATTCTAAATGTGTGTTTTGGCGATACCATGAAATAAATTATATTTTATTTTTTATTTTTATTTTATTTTTTTGAGATGGAGCCTTGCTCTGTCACCCAGGCTAAAATGCAGTGGCGCGATCTCGGCTCACTGCAACCTCCGCCTCCCAGATTCAAGCGATTCTCCTGCCTCAGCCTCCCGAGTGGCTGGGATTACAGGCGCCCGCCACTGGGCCTAGGTAATTTTTGTATTTTCAGTAGAGATGGGGTCTCATCATCTTGGCTAGGCTGGTCTCGAACTCCTGACCTCGTGAACCACCTGCCTCAGCCTCCCAAAGTGCTGGGATTACAGGCGTGAGCCACCACGCCTGGCCAACTATTTTATTTTTTAATTTTAAATTGTTACTGTCTAGTAGTGTATAGTCTTGCCTGTAATTTAAACAATAATTCACTTAGGAGTATGAAGTTCATACTTAATAGTACAGTCATTCATACAGAATCAACTATACTATGATAAATAAATAGTTAAAAATTAGTATTAACGGTTTATAGATGGGCTGTTATTTATGAAAACAAATGTTAAAACTATTAAAATGGAAATTAGAGCCTGATCTCTCTTCAAACAAAAAATTCTTTGCTTTTCCAGCAACACAGAGTTGTTTTTTGTTTTGTTTTGTTTTGGTTTGGTTTTTTTGTTTTTTTGAGACAGGGTCTCACTCTGTCATCCAGGCTGGAGTGCAGTGGCACAATCACAGCTCACTACAGCTTTGACCCGCCACGCTCAAGTGCACTTCCTTCCTCAGCCTCTCAAGTAACTGGCACTATAGGTGTGCACCACCATGCCTGGCTAACTTTCAAAAAATGCTTAGTAGACATCAGGTCTAGCTATGTTGCCCAGGCTGTTCTCAAATGCCTGAGTTCAAACAATCCTCCCCTGCCTTGGCCTCCCAAAGTGCTGAGAATACATTGCACCTGGCCCAGTTCATTCATTAATTCAACAAATATTTAGATGACTATTATATGCCAGGCATGAGGAAAGGGACTAAAGAGAGTTGTAAGGATTAAATGGGACAACATACATGAAAACATCCTGTATGCTCTTGGTTGCTGCTAAGGAGAATCAATAACAGAAGGGCCTCAGAGACATAGAGAGGCAGTCTAGAATAAAGATGGAAATAATGCAATAGTCTATTCTGATAAGGGCTTTGAAATGGAAAGTGAGAATTTGGGGACTGATTTCTGTAACAGTGGGCAAATTACTGCAGTGCCTTAGGAAGGTAAGCAAGGCCAGAGAAAAATGGAACTGTAATGGGATGGAGGATTTGGGATAATGGATCAAAGAAGATGAACTTCTACCATGAAGAGTTTGAGAACATGCTTGTCCAGTGATCACCAGACCTGATAAAGAGGACTTTAACTGACCATGAAATGGGAGGGGAAAGATGCCTAGATAAACCTGTTAAACCTGTTACCATGGAGTAGGTATAGTTCAGAGAGAGGAAAAATGGTATAGGAGTTACCTAGTGAGTCACATGAAAAAAGAAGTGGCATAGGACTTGGAAACAATACTTTGAGCTTCATAAATCCATATGCCAATGGGTGGTACCTAGGTAATAAACAATGTGCACTAGAAATTATAACAGAGGGCAGTAAATGGAATTTTTTAAAGCCTGTTGAGCCATGGTTGTATGGGAATCAACCTGCCGCCAGTTCCTATTGCATCAGATAAGAGGGCGTCTATGATACTGAATGTGAATTACCTACCATGGTGCCTAGCACAGAGTGGTTATTATTTGAAATAGAAAAAAAAAAATAGCTATAAAGCCCTCGCAAATTCCTTATCCTCCCATCGCCCTTGCTCCTATCCCAGTACATACACCACAATCTATTCAATTTTGCAAGCCTAGAAACCCAACACTCTCCTGTGTTTATGAAGAGGAGCAAATGCCAAGTCTTGTTGCTTCTACCTCATAAACTATTTTGGCATCGCCCCATTTTTCTGCCTTCCTACTATTACCACTGTATTATAATACCATCATTTCTGGGGGGCCATTGTTTTAAAACAAAATCGATTTGTGTCACTTTCTGCATAAGACCCATCGCTATTTCCTATCACTCTGGGTAAAAACAAAGACAACACTTGGACATAGCCTGTAGCACCCAATTGTTCTGGCTGCCGCTTGGCTCTCCAGCCTCATCTCTCTGTCATTTTCTGCTCAACTTTGATCCTAAAATATGTCAGGCTCCTTCTCGCCTTACGTCTTTGCATGTGCTATTGCATTTGCCTAAAACACTTTCCCCTGCCATCTTTGCCTAGTTAATTCCTATTTATCTTTCAGATCCCAGTTTACCTGCTGATTTTCTTTGGCAAAGCCTCTCCTGACCACCTATACTAAGGCAGTAATCCTATCATACACCTTTGAGCATCTTTTGCTTTCCCTCATCATAGTTTATAACTAGTTTTTTTGTGAAATTATCTTTTTTTTTTTTTTTTTTGAGAAGGAGTCTCGTTCTGTTGCCCAGGCTGGAGTGCAGTGGCACGATCTTGGCTCACTGCAAGCTCCGCCTCCTGGGTTCATGCCATTCTCCTGCCTCAGCCTCCCAAGTAGCGGGGACTACAGGTGCCTGCTACCAAGCCCAGCTAATTTCTTTGTATTTTTAGTAGAGACAGGGTTTCACCGTGTTCTCTAGGATGGTCTCCATCTCCTGACCTCGTGATCTGCCCACCTCGGCCTTCCAAAGTGTTGGGATTACAGGCGTGAGCCACGTGAAATTGTCTTTTAATGGCTCTCTCTCCTCCAGACTATAAACAACATTATGGGCAGGGATCATGTTTGTTTTGCTCACTGATGTAGCCCTAAAATCTAGCAAAATGCCAGGCAAATGACGAGATTCTCACTGTACGTTCATTAAATAAATAGAGCACCTGTAATCTGTATCTGATTGAAAGATTATATTGTTTACAAAACTACTGCAATACTAGATGTTGCTAGTGGAGGAGGCTGTGCATGTGTAGGGCCAGGGAGCATATTGGAACTCACTGTACTTTCTGCTCAATTTTGCTGTGAACCTAAAACTTCCCTAAAAATGTCTTTTTTTTTTTTTTTTGAGGTGGAGTTTCACTCTTGTTTCCCAGGCTGGAGTGCAGTGACGTAATCTCGGCCCAATGCAACCTCCGCCTCCCAGGTTCAAATGATTCTCCTGCCTCAGCCTCCTGAGTAGCTGGGATTACAGGTGGGTGCCACCAAGCCTGGATAATTTTTGTATTTTTTTAGTAGAGATGGGGTTTCACCATGTTGGCCAGGCTGGTCTTGACCTCAGCTGATCTGCCCGCTTCAGCCTCCCAAAGTGCTGGGATTACAGGCATGAGCCACCACTCCCAGCCCAAAACAGTCTATTAAAAATTAAAAAGAAAACTATTACGAAAAATTTATACACAATTAGGGAGCGGCCAGGCATGGTGGCTTAGGCCAATAATCCCAGCACTTTGGGAGCCCGAGGCGGTGGATCACCAGAGGTCAGGAGTTCAAGACCAGCCTGGCCAACATGCTGAAACCCCCTCTCTACTGAAAATACAAAGATTAGCTAGGCGTGGTCACGATCGCCTGTAATCCCAGCTGCTTGGGAGGCTGAGGCAGGAGAATCACTTGAACCCAGGAGGCAGAGGTTGCAGTGATCGGAGAGCTCGCCACTGCACTCCAGCCTGGGTGATAGAGCGAGACTCCGTCTAAAAAAAGAAAAAAAAAAATTCAGAGAATAGTATAATGGATCCTCATGGACCTACTACCTTAGATCTTAATATAATTTGAGTGTTTGAGGAGACTCCTGGAATCATTTCTTTTTTAATTGAGTTCAAATTTCATGACTGATATCACGAGAATAAAATGATTTACTTACATATCCTGTGCAAGTGATAAATGATAATTCCTTTGCCTTCTGGATTTTGGATTTTTGTGTCCCTAAAGGATCCTAGCACCCTTTCCCAGCTCTCTGAGTTTGGTGGAACAGCAGGGCACGTGGCATTGACCACTTTGCTATGTTATTTGGATATCAGAGTGCACTGGTCATCTCAAAAGCATTTGAAACCGACATGAAAACCTTAATTCATTTCGATGACCACTTACCCTTACACTTCAGCACTTTTGGACAAAAGCACAGACAGCCACTGTGAGCTATAAAAAAAATAATAATGATTTGAAAACAGAACGACTAAGATTTTTACTCAAAGAAACACAGTTCCTTGAATGTTTTGGGCTGCATCCCACTCCCCAGGGTTTTTGTACTTGCTGTACCTCTGTCCAGATGATGCTCCTGTCTGGATCGACCAAACCCCCATTTACCCTTCAGATCTCAATTTGAGTGACCCTTTTCCTGGGAAGCCATGGCCTATCCTCCTCCCCGCCCCCAGCCCCCGACATAGATGACCTTCTCTGTGTTCCAGAGTTACTCTTTGCTAACGTCTGACCCACTTGTCTGTCTTCCCAGCTGTCTGTAAGGTATGTGAGAGAAGAACCACTGATCTGTGTAGTGGGGACTTATAATGTAGGAATTAAGTAACAAGATACAAACTTTGGAACTTGAAGCCTGGATTCAAATATGATCCCAGCACTTACTGGCTGTGGGGCCCTAGGCAAGTTCTTAAATCTGAGCCTCAGTTTTGTCATACCTTATGTGAAGATACTAATACCCACATCACAGAGTTGTCATGAGGTTCGTGAGACATTATGAGTATAAAGCAATTAGAAGAGTGAGTTCCTAGCTTAGAGTTAACACTCAATAAAGATAGGCAGAATAAAAGAAAAACAAAAAGGAAGGAAAGAGGAAAAAGAGGAAGGGAGTAGAGTGAATGACTGCCCAGGCAAAAAGCCAACATGAGAATTCCCCACAACTGAGAGATTCTAATCTTGAGGATTGCTCTTCTCTATTTAGCTATGGCCAGATTACAGGAACCTTAACGTTTTGAAGTTCAAAGTGTATAGTTTTCAACTACATGTTTGCACTCAAGACTTTTATGGAGAAAAACAAGTTTTTCAATTCTTTTAAAGCCACTACCCTGAAGGGGAATGCACGGGGCTACTTTCTCATTTCTCCTCAGGGGCTGATGTGATTTTCATCTTTCTGCTATGCTTTTGGACTCTGGGGCTCATCCATACTTAGATGGCCTCATGTCCTTATTTATTTGAAAATTATATTGACTGAGCACCAACGAGTACAGAGCATTACAGCTAAAACAAATATGAAATAATGTGGTCTTTTCATGGCTGGGCACGGTGGTTCATGTCTGTAATCTTAGCACTTTGGGAGGCCAAGGTGGGTGGATCACCCGAGGTTAGGTGTTCAAGACCAGCCTGGCCAACATGGTGAAACCTTGTCTCTACTAAAACTACAAAAAATTAGCTGGGTGTGGTGGCATGTGCCTTTGGTCCCAGCTACTCGGGAGGCTGAGGCAGAAGAATCACTTGAACATGGGAGGCAGAAGTTGCAGCTGAAATTGTGCCATTGCACTCCAGCCTCAGCAACAAGAGTGAAACTCTGTCTCAAATAATAATAATAATAATGATGTGGTCTTTTCAACTTTGCCTGCCTGTATCACCCAGAGTTTGGCAACATTAATTGTGCATGAAGCAAAGTGGTGTTATTAAGAGATTCAATATGTATAGCTGTTGGGACTCTCATTGCTGGAATGGTGGCTCTGAATCACAGATACTTTCATTTTTCTCAGAACAGTTCAACTTGGAGCACCCGCTATATGCCCCACGCTGTGACAGACTCTCAGGGGACACCAAGGGAAGTAAGGCCCAGCTCCCGCCTCAAAGAGCTGACCATCAACTGGCGGGGATTAGACAATGAGAGAAGTCCAAGCTAAAGAAAGTACCACAGGAGAAACACCAGGCGCTTGAGGTTTCAAAGGAGGGAAAGGATATATCAGGTTGGAGATACTAACAAAAGACTTTATTCATTCATCCATGTATATCCAATGAAAATATTTATTGGGTGCCTACTATATACCAGGCACTAAGTTAGCTATCAGGAATAAGATATAAGTAAGCCATTATTCCTAGCCTCAAAGACTTCATAAAAAAGTAGGAGGAACACACATGTAGACAAACAATAATATTCATTAATTCATTTATTCAACATTTAATGAGTATCTATTAAGTCCCAAGCTCAAGAGTGGTGAGAAGAAAGGTCTCTGTGGTAAAGGAACCCACAGTCTAGCTCAGATGATAGGTGTATAAACAGAACATTTCTATGTAAAGTAGTGTGTTCAGTGCTGTGATAGGTATGTTAAAAAAAATTGCAAAGTCTCAAGATAGAGGGTGAAGGGCAATAAACTCTTTCTGGGGTCAGAGAAAGCTTCTGTAGAGAACACAACAGAGGGAGTATTACAGGACGAAGGAGCTTTTCAGGTAATTATAGAGAGGCAGGAGGAAGAGTATCTGAGGCAGGTTGTACCAATATGGCTGGAATAAGAAGAGTAGAGATGTACCAGAGACAGAGGGTGGCCAAATGGTGCGAGGTTTTAGAGCCCTTCAGCTGAAAGAATGGAATGTCAAGGTATAATGACCACTCAGAGGAGCAGGTAAACAACTGAGTGCAGGGTGTGGATGGAATCTCAGGGAAAGGTTCCTGGTGGAGTACATATCTGAGAGTTTTAAGTAATGTGCAGGAACTTGTTAAGAAGAAACAGCATTCCTCAGAATGGATTTTGCAGGTGAAAATAATGGAGAGAAGAAATTTCAGAGTCAACAGCTTGAGCAAAAAGCAAAGAAGCAAAAAGCCCACGTACATACAATCAGGGAGAGGTGAGAGCCTGTGAAGGCGGCTCTTCACATGTCTCTAATCTCAGTGAACTCTGTGTTTCTGCCCTGACTCTGCTCATTGTACAACATGGGGGAGGGGTCCTCCTTCCATCCCTTTCTCCTCTTCAAGGGTGACTCTTGGGTACTCAGAGTTTTATGAAATTAGGAGACCAAACTTGTTTCGTTTGTTTGTTTGTTTTTGAGACAGAGTCTTACTCTGTTGCCCAGGCTGGAGTGCAGTGGTGTGTTCTCGGCTCACTGCAATCTCTGCCTCCCGGGTTCAGGTGATTCTCATGTCTCAGCCTCCCGAGTAGATGGGATCACAGGCATGCACCACCATGCCAGGCTAATTTTTGTATTTTTAGTAGAGACAGGGTTTCACCATGTTGTCCACTCTGGTCTCGAACTCCTGACTTCAGGTGATCCAACTGCTTCAGCCTCCCAAAGAGCTGGGATTACAGGGGTGTGCCACCACACCTGGCCCAAACTTGTTTTTAAGGCCCCCAGATCAACAGTGGCTGCTACAGGCTTAAGAGTATGGCAAAAAAAAAAAAAAAAAAAAAAAGGCTCTAGGCTCCAATGCAGAAGTGACCAGGCTGAGCTCCTCCTTCCAGACTACTGACGCACACCAAAGCCCTCTGCCCTATGTTAGAGGCTGGGGATGCCAAAAAGGACCATTCCTGGTTTTTCCTTCTGGGTTTGGAATTTACTGAGAAATAAGACCAGGTCTGCCTCCTTACACACACTACTAACAAGCATCCAAATTGGGGCCGTCATTTGAGTCACCTGGGAAGTTTGCATTACATGCCTAGTCCAGGGATTCCACTATCTTGGAAGAACATTTCTGAAATTCCTTTGTTGGAATTTCATGGGGTCACAGTCAGACCCATAGACACCACCTACCCAGTTCTACTCTTCACTTCGTATGTGGGGTCACCAAGGCTCTGGAGCTTTGAAACCCACTGAGACAACATTTCCAATTGCAGGCACAGCTGAAACCTATCCTCTGCTTTCCTAAGACATGACTTTCCTTCAGAGCCACTTTACAAGCCACAGAAGAAATCCTAAGATTTCTTAGGATTCTCCTAAGAATTCCTAAGATCTCCTGAATCTATAGCAGTAGTTGTTCATTTCTTTGAATCATGGAGTCCTTGGGGAAAATCTGTTAAAGCTAAAAACAGGATCCCTCAGTAAAGAACACATACAGCCAGGTGTGGGGGCTCACGCCTGTAATCCCAGCACTTTGGGAAGCCGAGGCAGGTGGATCACTTGAGCTCAGGAGCTCAAGACCAGCCTGGGCAACATGGTGAAACCAGTCTCTACCAAAAATACAAAAATTTAGCCAGACATGGTGGTACACACCTGTGGTCCCAGCTACTTGGGAGGCTGAGCTGGGAGGATTGATCCCTTGAGCCTGGGAGGCAGAGGTTGCAGTGAGCCAAGATAATACCACTGCACTCCAACCTGGGTGACAGAGTGAGACCCTGTCTCAAAAATAAATAGACAAAAATACACATATACTTAAAAACTTCCACACACTCCAGGATGAGAACTCTTGCCCTATGTCAGCATACTAACTCCTTCCTTCAAATTTCAACAGCAGCTATTATGCAGCATGATCATCTTCCTCATACTCTAGACCTCCAGCCAAGTGACTTCTGGCTCTTCCCAACTATCAAATCCCTAAAGGAACGAGATGTTCCTGTGCTGAGGAGGTCCAAAAGAATGTGCTGTAGATTCAAAAGCCATTTCCACAAGGAGCATTCCAAGGATATTTGAAGAAATCCAGAGTCCCTGGAAAGCACAGCTTCTCCAGATGACCACCTAGAAGAGGGTAGCATCTCCGTACCTGTGCTGGTTGGCTCTTAAATAATCAGTCCCTTTCCCAGGCAAGGCTCATGGGGAGCCTTTGGTGTGATAACTTCTTATATGCTAATACAATAATGGACAATTCCAAAGCTTAGCAGAGAGCCCCCATTAGCAGATACTGCCTTCTCCATTCAGGTTTTTGGAACCACGCCAGGCAGTTATGTGCATCTGCCTTCCTGTTCCAAACTTTGTATAAACATGTACCTCTATTTTCTTCTTCTTTTTTTTTTTTTTTTGGTGGCGGGGGGTACGGAGTCTCACTCTGTCACCAGGTTGTAGTGGAGCGATCTCGGCTCACTGCAACCTCCACCTCCCAAGTTCAAGCGATTCTCCTGCCTCAGCCTGCCGAGTAGCTGGGACTACAGGCATGTGCCACCATGCCCAGCTAATTTTGTATTTTTAGTAGAGACAGGGTTTCACCATGTTGGCCAGGATGGTCTCCATCTCTTGACCTCATGATCTGCCCGCCTCGGCCTCCCAAAGTGCTGGGATTACAAGTGTGAGCCACTGTGCCCAGCCTACCTCTATTTTCATCTCCACCTCTCCCAACAGACTCTGGGCACAGACATGAAGGTCAGACACTGGACTCATGCATTCATCATTTATATGTCTATTTGACATGTATGAAAAGGCCACTATATGTTAGCACTGCTAATACAATGGTGAACAAAATAGTGCTGCAGCTTCTCAAGCAAGGCAGGCAGGCCAGGTAGGGTGGCTCGTGTCTGTAATTCCAGAACTTTGGGACGTTGAAGCAGGAGGATCACTTGAGCCCAGAAGTTTGAAATCAGCCTGAGTAACATTGTGAGACCTCCTCTAAATTTTTTTTTTTTAATTAGCTGGGCATGGTGGTGCACGCCTGTACTTCCAGCTACTCCAGAGGCTGAGGTGGGAGAAGGATCGCTTGAGCCCAGGAGTCTGAACTTGCAGTGAGCTATGATCGCACCACTGCACTTCAACCTGGGTGACAGAGGGAGACCCTGTCTCAAAGAAATAAAGAAAGAAAAGAAAAGAAAACAGGCAAACAAGCAATCATATAACAAAGTGTGGCTAATACTATCCTTTGGGAAATACAGAATACTTGATAGGACAGCCTGGTCTCCCTGGGGGAAAGGAAACTTTTAACTTAAGATCTGATGTACATCCTTTCCAGGGCCCAGCACAAAGTATGTGCTCAATGTGAAACATTACCCTGGGCAAAATCCTCCGGGCTTGCTGGAGAGGTCACTCACTAAGGGGCAATTGTTAGTCAATTTAAGAGTGGTTGTGGTGAGCCAAGGGCCCAGGGCCTGAGCATTCCGAAAGCCAGCTAGCGTCAGGTGCAGCTGGTCACCTCATTCAGCTCTTTCTGACACATTTGTGAAGTGGTAGGAGAAACAATAGACTTAGAACTCCTGTAGGGTTCAGTCCCAGGGTTCTGCCACTGATTACATTCGTGTGTTCTCACTTGTCCTTTTGTATAATGATGCCACCTTCCAGAGCAAAGGAATCTATGAAAGCCTGTTGCAAATGTAAGGACATGGAATCTATTTATCTAATCTATCGCCTGGCTGTCTGAATTTGCAGGGGAAGAAGAGGGCAGGGTAAACAATAAGTTTAGGAGAACTGGCAGGGGCACTGCCTTGTAGGGCTTGTGCCTCAAGCCTTTTGTTGTCTCGCATGATCTGGATTTGGCAAGGAGGGGGCAGCTTGAATTCCGGGCGGGCTAAAAGGCCTTGGCTGAGGTCTAACGGATTTCACAACACAGTATGGAAAGGCTTCCCACGAAGCGATCGGGGTGGGGGATGGGGAAAGCTGCAATTCTGCAAACTGGGAAAGGGTAGGAGGTGGGAGGTTCCCGAAAGCCAGGATGGAGTAGCGATTAAAACCCTTGATTACTGACACTACCCAGCACCCCCAACCGACCCCCTTCAAATCTCTGCCTTAACAACCGCAGCCTACAGGCAGTGTTATCACAAACTTGCACCGCAGGCCCTACCTATGAGCCCAGTCAGCCCTAAGGCAGCAGCCAGCCCCTGAGTGGCACGGGAGGAGCGGCCCCCACCTCCGGCAGCCGCGCATGCGCGCCGCTTACTCTGCGTTCCAACACCTCTAACACTCATCAACGGCGCCCCGATCCGCAGATTAAAGGAGCCTTCTCCCCTTTTACCCCCGGCTGTGCCCCATGCTCAATACACAGCAACTCCAGAGTCCATAGGCAGCTGTGCGGCGGTGGGGGTAGAAGGAAACGAGTCAAGAAGCTCTCGGGCCCGGCCCGAAACTACAACTCCCAGCAGACCCCGCGCCGCCCCGCCTTCTTGTGGGCGGGCCGAGGGTACCCAGCAGCTTAAAGCGGCGAGATCGCGACGTGTGTGGAAGGCTGGGTGCATGGTCTGCGCTCTGTGATCCGGCGCTGGGAGGGTGGAGAGAGCGGTGGCATCTTTCTGTCTTGCCTGTTGTACCTGAACTAGCAAACAGCACAGTTGAAATAACCTCTGAGCGCATTTAGAGGCGTCTCTCAGGTTCAGCAACTTGTTGCCCCTACTTCACAAATTCTGCATTGTTGGTTTAGCAAATGAGAACCTGAAAAATCGCCTGTATGTTAAATTTCTTCTTCTTTTTTTTTTTTTTTTTTTTTTTTTTTGAGACGTAGTCTCACCCTGTTGCCCAGGCTGGAGTGCAGTGGCGCGATCTCGGCTCACCGCAACCTCTGCCTCCCAGGCTCAAGAGAGTCTCCTGCTTCAGCCTCCCAAGTAGCTGGTATTACAGGCGCGTGCCACTACCACCCAGCTAATTTTTGTATTTTTAGTAGAGACTGGGTTTCACCATGTCAGCAAGGCTGGTCTTGAACTCCTGACCTCAGGTGATCCACCCACCTTGAGCTCCCAAAGTGCAGGGATTACAGGCGTGAGCCACCGCGCCCGGCTAAATTTCTGTGAAAATAAATTATTTTCCCTACCATGTCCAAGCAACCCTATTTTTTTTCCTAGTTTGCAGGTGTCTGTGGTTGATGTTTACTATCACTTATTTTCCCTAAAGACTCAACACACAAAAAAGAGGGGAGTCTGTTTAAAGAAATTCTGCAGTGAATCATCCTGAAAACGTAAAAACTTGTTTTGATAAGTTTTATACTTTAATTTTCTAACTTTTGTAATGAAGTGTCTTTAAAATGCAGCACACTTGAAATCCTTTTTTAAAGTGCAGAGTTAAGTGGTATCCTAATTTTTGAATAGGACGCAGAGAAGTTTAAAGAGGTTTAAGATCTACTCTTTGCTTCTTGCTAACGATGCAAAACGATGGTTCTTAGAGGGCACGAGGGATAGCTACCTTCTAGAATAGTGCTATTGGTCTGCACGACTGTAGTGGGTTTCTTGAACGGTGTAGTTTAGACCGTGATTTCTTACAGCCGCTAATGAACATCCTCCACATGCTAACGATGAACTCCTTTTGTTTTTGTTTGTTTGTTTTTTCCAAACAAATACAATTTAAGGGCCTCCATGGGAGTCATTTGGGAACTTAAATGCAGAATGGTTTAGCGTTGGATTTTTTCTTTGTTTTTGGAGTTAGCTTCAGCCTGCTGTTTTATGACCATGTGTGTGTTCACTCTCTTTAGTGTGGCATTTATGGATAACATGAAATTGGCCAACTTGGCAAAAGTTAACAAGATACATAATTTTTTATTTGTTCTTTGTGTGGGGCAGCCCAGCAATAGGCATACTGAAAAATTGAAATAATAGTTGATGTATAGTGATTTTGATCACTAGAGCAGCTATTGTGTTCTGAACAAACCCCCCATACACTGTGAAACATTAAAAGGGAGGAAGCAATACTTGCGATATTTAGTAATATTTAGATTTTTCCTTTTTTTTTTTTTTTTTTTGAGATACAGTCTCGCCCTGTTGCTCAGGCTGGAGTGCAATGGCGCGATCTCGGCTCCACCTCCTGGGTTCAAGTGATTCTCCTGCCTCAGCCTCCTGAGTATCTGAGATTACAGATGCACGCCACCACACCTGTGTGATTTTTTGTATCTTTAGTAGAGACGGGCTTTCACCATGTTGGCCAGGCTCGTCTCAAACTCCTGACCTTGTGATCCACTGGCCTCAGCCTCCCAAAGTGCTAGGATTATAGGCGTGATTCTCAAATGTTCTTCTTTTTTTTTTTTTTTGAGATGGAGTCTCACTCTGTTGCCCAGGCTAGAGTGCATTGGTGGGATCTTAGCTCACTGCAAACTCTGCCTCCCAGATTCAAGTGATTCTCTCATGCCTCAGCCTTCCAAATAGCTGGGATTACAGGCATGGGCCACCATGCCAGACTAATTGTTGAAGTTTCTCTATTTTGGCCAAACTGGTCTGGAACTCCTGGCCTCAAGTGATCTCCCCGCCTCGGCCTCCCAAAGTGCTGGGATTATAGGTGTGAGCCACTGCTCTGGGCCAGAAGTTCTCTTTATAATCAGGAATAGAACAAGCCTTCTGGCTACTTGCTTTTCTATTATACATTTAATTTATCAAGTCCTAGCCCCCCCTCCACCCGCAGTAAGACAAGAAGTTGTAAGATATAAGACAATGTTATTGTGTACAAGAAAATTTCAAGATAACTAACAAATTACTAACCCTTTTAAGTGAGAACAGCTGGGAGAAAAAACTGCAATTGTACAATAATCAATTTTATTTCTATCACCACCAACAAAGGACCAACATTAATTTGATAAAAGATACCACTTACAGTGGTTAAAAAAAAAAAAGACATGCAAAAGCTTTACAGAGCAAAATACAAAACTTCATTGAAAATCATAGGCCGGGCACAGTGGCTCAAGCCTATAATCCCAGCACTTTGGGAGGCCAAGGCAGGCGGATCACTTGAGGTCAGGAGTTTGAGACCAGCCTGGCCAATGTGGTGAAACCCCATCTCTACTAAAAATACAAAAAATTAGCTGGGCATGGTGGTGGGTGCTTGTAATCCCAGCTACTTGGGAGGCTGAGGCAGGAGAATCGCTTGAACCTGGGAGGCGGAGGTTGCAGTGAGCCGAGATCGCACCACTGCACTTCAGCCTGGGCAACAGAGTGAGACTCCGCCTCAGAAAACAAACAAACAAACAAACAAACAAAAACAAGTAAGCACACAAAACTTCTGTACATTAACAATAGAAAACATGAAAGTGAAAAGACAAGGCACAGACTAGAAAGATACTTATAACTCAAAGAGAGACAAAGGATTAGTGTTCAGAACATTTAACATTATATACATCAATAAGACAAAGACAAGTGATACATTTTAATGATACAATATCAAATGAAAAAAGACATAATTTGGCAATTCCTGGAAGAGGAACTTTGAATGGCTAATGTGAGAAGATTTTTATCCTCACTGGTAATCATGGAAAAATACTAATTAAAACAACAAAAAATTGTTTCACACTTATTTGATTGGAAACATTTAAAAGAACAATAATATCAAGTTTTGTCAGCCAGGTGTGGTGACTCAGGCCTGAATCCCAGCTTTGGGAGGCTGAGGTGGAAGGATGACTTGAGGCTAGGAGTTCAAGAACAGCCTGGGCAACATAGAGAGACCCCAACTCCACAAAGAGAAATTTTTTTTTTTTTTTTGAGACGGAGTCTCGCTCTGTCGCCCAGGCTGGAGTGCAGTGGCGGGATCTCGGCTCACTGCAAGCTCCGCCTCCTGGGTTCACGCCATTCTCCTGCCTCAGCCTCCCAAGTAGCTGGGACTACAGGCGCCCGCCACTACGCCCGGCTAATTTTTTGTATTTTTAGTAGAGACGGGGTTTCACCGTTTTAGCCGGGATGGTCTCGATCTCCTGACCTCGTGATCCGCCCGCCTCGGCCTCCCAAAGTGCTGGGATTACAGGCGTGAGCCACCGCGCCCGGCCGAGAAATTTTTATATATGTAATGTTAAAGATGTTGAGCCACAGAAAATCTCATCTACTATTGATGTTAATGTAACTTGATTCTGTTTGGCAATATCATAAAAGTCAAGATTACAAAGCAAGTTCACTCTGGGCATACATTCTAGAGAAGCTCTTGTATATATGCATAAAAGGACATGTCAAAAATATTCATGACATTCATGATGATGAGAGCCAAAAATAGAAAACAATATAAAATGTCCCTTAAGAGAAGAATGGATAGTTGATTACTTCATTCACTGGAATATTACAAAGCAAATGAAATTACTTATTTTATTTTGTTTTTTGAGATGGAGTCTCACTCTGTGGCCCAGGCTGCAGTGCAGTGGCATGATCTCAGCTCACTGCAACCTCCACCTCCCAGGTTCAAGCAATTTTCCTGCCTCAGCCTCCCGAGTAGCTGGGATTACAGGCGTCTGCCATCATGCCCGGCTAATTTTTTGTATTTTTAGTAGAGATGGGGTTTCACCATGTTGGCCAGGCTGGTCTTGAACTCCTGACCTCAAGTGATCCACCCGCCTCGGCCTCCCAAAGTGTAGGGATTACAGGTGTGAGCCACTGCGCCCGGCTACTTGCAAATGAAATTACAAAGAAAATGAATATTATAAAGAAAATGAGTAACTGCATTATCAACATGTATAAATCTCAGAAACATAATTTGTGCAAGAGCAAGTTACAGAATGATGTCTACAGTGTCAGTATGATACCACATATAAAGTTTGGAACATACAAAAGAATACTAGTTATTGATTATGGACACTTTTATGTAGAAAATATAAAAAGCTTGTATGGGATTAATAAACACCAAATTCAGGGGAAAGGAAGGAAATAAAATTGGAAGGAACTTCAAACATGTCTGTAACATTTTATTTCTTTATTTCTTGAAATTGTCCATCAAAAAGAAAAAAAAGGAAGGAAAAGACGGACCAGTTTGGGGAACTGAAGTTACACTTACATTTTCTTTCTTTCTTTTTTTTTTAAGATGGAGTTTCTCTCTTGTTGCCCAGGCTGGAGTACAATGGCACTATCTCAGCTCACTGCAACCTCCACCTCCTGGGTTCAAGCAATTCTCCTGCTCCTACTCAGCCTCCCGAGTAACTGGGATTACAGGCATTGTGCCACCACGCCTGGCTAATTTTGAATTTTTAGTAGAGACGGGGTTTCTCCATGTTGCTCAGGCTGGTCTCGAACTCTCAACCTCAGGTGATCTGCCTGCCTCAGCCTCCCAAAGTGCCGAGATTATAGGCGTGAGTCACCGCACCCAGCCACACTTAACATTTTCAAATAACTTTCTGAGTTTATCTTATAATTCAATCCTATGAGCCATCACTCACTATAGGATCTCCTTGGCACTGAGAACTAAAGCAGGTAGGATCTTGCTGACAGCCATCTGCGCAGCTTTGTGTCTCCACATTCCTGCAACACAGTGGGACTAGTGGAGACAACATGGTTAGCTGACACTAACTGTCCTAAATTTGGCCAAAAAATTCTTACTCTAGGAGTGGAGCAGGTGCAGGCTGAGGGCATGGCTTTCTACTACAGGTCTATGGTGAATGCAGAGAGAAGGTGCAATTGTAAGCACTAAACACATCTCTCCATTCGCGTCTTCAAATCAAAACGCCAGATTAATCTATTGGAATTATATATACCAGTGAGTTGGCAGGTGAGCCAAATTCTTACACGAGAGTCTCTTCTCTCCCTTGCAATCAGTTTTCAGTTTTAGAAAAGATGTTTTTTGTACCTTTTTTAAAGGATTGAAACAGCAAGAGATCCACCTGCAGAGAACATATTGTATTTTGCTATATTAAAGCTATTTAACTGAAAATCCAGTTCTGCTGAAAAGTTTTAACCCTTGTTTTCTTATTATTTTAGTAACACATTGTCACTATAATAATTGGCTATTGAAAAATGTGTCTTTTTTTTTTTTCGTAACAAGAACACATAGGACTTGTTTTCTGGTTTCCACCTTCGACTTTATACCTTGAATCACAAGTCCTCCTGGGTTCTCAATAATGTGTATGAGAATGCCTTTCCATTTATCAGCAAACAAGACTTATTAATTAGGAACCCACATTTGCACACTACTCTACTGAGCACCTAATGAGTAGGTTTTATTTTATTTTATTTTATTTTACTTTATTTTATTTTATTTTATTTGAGACCGAGTCTCTCTCTGCCGCCCAGGCTGGAGTGCAGTGGTGTGATCTCGGCTCACTGCAGCCTCCACCTTCCAGGTTCAAGCAATTCTCCTGCCTGAGCCTCCTGAGTAGCTGGGACTACAGGTGCATGCCTCCACGCCCGGCTAATTTTTTGTATTTTTAGTAGGGACGGGGTTTCAACGTGTTGCCCAGGTTGGTCTTGAACTCCTGAGCTCAGGCAATCTGCCCACCTTGGCCTCCCAAAGTGCTAGGATTACAGGCGTGAGCCATCACGCCCAGCCTATGAGTAGGTTTTAAAAAAGACACCATCTTTACCTGATAGAGCCTAGAGTTGTATAAGCTTTTCAGTCTTCCTCTTTGGCCATACTGTTTTTGCTAATCGTTTTATAACCTTTAAATTGTTGGAACTGTTTGAGGCCAGGACTATAACCCCGTTCATGCCTTGGCTGAAGGTGGTAGGAAAGAGTTTCTCTGTCTTTAAGGAAAGCCTGCTTAGCTTTTGGCCATGGGCAATTGACTTTTCACCTTCTCAGCTGGTTTACACACAAGATTCTCTGTGAGGCAAAAAGCCAGATACAGCCTATTTCAATTGCCTCACACCCGGAGAAGGGAAAAGTGGTCCATCTTTACACCATGGTGTAGAGCTGCAGCAAACAGAAAATCTTCAAGGCAGTGTCAGCAGCTAATAACATCCACCCACACACACTTGAATTCACTTTATGGGGCTTACTCCCATATGAAGTAACGCCAAAAAACATTGACCTGTATAAACATGATCAAGTTCTATTATCATACCACTGGAATAAACAGCAGCAGTTTAGAAAAAAAAAAAGTTCTTAGTTAACAGAACTATGATCAACATACTTTTATGTGAGGGGCTCCATTTCTACCAACAAAGAGCGATGTTTTAAGAGTGAATTTCTCGCTTAAACCTTGTTACTTTAGTTAGTTTATCAATGTATAGCCCTGGCTGCTGATTTTTGGCTAGCATGGCTTTCCAGGGCAGAGGTTTCAGACTCCCAGGCAGGTGAGGACTTAGGTCTCTCCGAGAAATGATGTAGTAGAGCTTTCTCATTTGAAAGAACAGGAAATCAGGCAACAAAGGTTACTAAGGGTCAGGATGACTCATGCAGCCATATGCATGAGGGCTATATAGGGAGCTGTGAGTATGGAGGTGGGCGGAGTCTGCCAGTAAGAGGCACCAACGCCTCACCACCTTCCCAGAGGACCATGTGAGAGATTGATTTTTTTCTCTACTTTTTGTTGGTGGGATGTGAAATATCGTTAATCACCAAATGCTGACTATCCATATGGATAGTGGGAACCCTTGGGGTGGGCAAAAATTATTTCTTTGGGCTCATTCTCCTATCCAGAGAGCTGGGAAATTAGATGCTTCATAGCCTGGTCATTTCTGATTTCCAAGTACTCTATCCACATGGTATCAAAAAGAACTATTCCTTTTTTTCTTTTTCTTTTTTTCTTGTTTCCATTTTCCCTCCCTCCCTCCCTCCTTTCCTTCCTTCGTTCCTTCCTTTCTTCCTTCCTTTCCTTCCTTCCTACCTTCCTTCCTTCCTTCCCTTTCCTCCATCCTTTTATGCAGCCAGCCAGCCAGCCAGCCAGCCAGCCAATATTTACTGAGTACTTTCCACAGCCATAGGCAAATGGCTGTGGTCCAGGAATAGAGAGGGTCGAAGCCTTTTCCAGGAGGGCAGGGCCAGAGTGATGCAGAGAAGTGAGGGAGCTGACAAGAGGTGGCAACCAGTAGGAGGTGAAGGGTGATGGAGAAGGAGGAGTCAGGGATAACTTCTGACTGGAAGACTTTTCCTCCCCATTTTGTATAGATCTACAGTCTCTGCTAGAAACTCTGGAACTTGGGTATCACCAGAAACAAATGAAATGTGAAAGATATTGTTTATCTATCTATCTATCTATCTATCTATCTATCTATCTATCTATCTATCTATCTATCTATCTATCTAATCTATGTATCTATGTATCTATGTATCTATGTATGTATGTATCTATCTATCTATCTATCTATCTATCTATCTATCTTTAAAATGCTTAGACACACTGCACTAAGGTTCTGCTGGGCAAATTTTTCACTTGATAACTGTCATCAATCAATGTGCTATCATCAAGTGATTGTGTACCAGTTTACTTAGTCAAAAGTTATAAGAAGCAAAAATGGCTTAACTGTGTCAATGAGCCCTAAAAAATCATACAAGACAAGCTAGTGAAACAGAACGGAGACTTGAGGAGACCAAGTCTAAAGACAGAGAACACTGATGAAATGGAAGACGAATTGGGAATGAGATATGTAAAAATACCCTGGGACTAATTATATAGAAATGCTGAGGATATATCATTCATGAACCTGTAAAAGCATACAAGAAATATTTTTCTAACAAAGAACACCTCAGTGCATGATAGTTAACAATGCATGACTGTCTGATAGAAGGATTTCTCTTGATTCACTGTTGGAGATGCCTGCTCTAGCATAAAAGCTGTTTACAGGAAACAGGCAGAGCTGAGAGTTGCAGAGAATATGGGCAGGAGGACAATTCAGTATAAATGTCTCTGTGTTGCTAAATCCAATCACAGAACCGTATGTTGCTCTCTCAAGTGCTTGATTGTTGAACTCATTCAGTGCATCTAAGAATGTAATTGTTAATTTTGCGTACAATAAAATGTGTAAATAATTAAATGCATTAAGACTTTGGTAAATCTATAAAATATGATAGCTTGTGGAGGTGGAAAGCACCAGGGAAGGACAGGGAAGGGTGAGCATTCAGATGGGGAGGTCCCATGCTGGTAGTTACCTTCTGTATCCCAGAATGTGACAAAGAGGTCCCGAAGACTGAAACACCAAGGACAGTTGATGTTTTCGTCTTGAATGTTCTACTTCCTATGGTAGGCGCATATCCTAAAGTAAAATTAGAAAGATTTCTAGTAATAAGAATAAAAGCAAAAGTACGTTTGTCTTTAGTGCTAGAAAGGGGGATGTAGCTAGCAGGAGTCACCTTAGGTCACTTAAATCGCGATTCAGTAGTCTTCCTTCTTCATCACACAACTTAATATTTTACTGCAGTTGTTTATTTTTAATTTTATTACAGAAAAATTCACTCTTTTTACTGTGTATTTCCACGTGCTTTGAAACATACATACACTCATGGAATCACCACCAAAATTAAAATGCGGAATTGCTCCACACCCGAAAAAGCACCCTTGTGCTGTCTCTTTGTAGTCAACGCTTCCTCTCACCTTTAAACCCTGGAAACCACTGATCTATCCTCTGACTCTTTAGCTTTGCCTTTTCCAGAATAACATGAAAATGGAATCATGTAGTAACACAGCATCTTTTACATTAGGGAATTTAAAACAAAAGCAAGTAAACAAGCAAAAACAAATACTAGAGCCCCATTCCCTGAATATTCTGGTTAAGTAAAATTTACTATGTCAGACACCTCACATCGTAATACTTCTCAAAATATTTTTCCCAATCAAAGCAACTTTTGTTTTTCTTTCTCTTGGTCCTTGCCCTCAATTGCTTAAGAATTTGAGAAGAAGAGAGGGTAACTTTGCATTTGTTTCCTGTGTGATCATGACAGTAATTTGGCTGTACAGAGGAGATTGCTTTGTAATATTTTGTCTGGGGGTGAGGCAATGTTGGTGTTTTTCTAGCAATTTTGTAAATATAATCTGAACTAGAGAGGAAAACTCACTCCATGGTGTCCAATTAGAATTTTTCTGAAAGAGAGAAGATAAAAAGGGAGTGGGATGAAGCATAGTTAGGCACATAAAAATTAGAAAAAACTCTAAGGACACTCCTTTGTGATTGTCAGCTTCCTACATAAAGGAATATAAAATTCTTGAAACATGAAATTGCAAGGCATGCAAGGGAAAACCAATGCATGTGGGTTTGTTTGGATGCACACACAAATTCAACTGCCTGCTTCATTGAGGCAGGCAGACCAGCTCAAGGTGCAGCAGGAGTTAGTTGTTTTAATTTCCAACACTCTTTCTGCTCTTATCTTCATGATCTAGAGCACATTAAATAAAAATATGAAGGCCAGGTGTGGTGGCTCACGCCTGTAATCCTAGCACTTTGGGAAGCCAAGGCGGGCGGATCACCTGAAGTCAGGAGTTTGAGACCAGCCTGGTCAACATGGTGAAACCCCATCTCTACTAAAAATACAAAAATTGGCCAGCCATGGTGGTACGTACATGCCTGTAGTCCCAGCTACTCAGGAAGCTGAGGCAGGAGAATTGCTTGAACCCAGGAGGCAGAGGTTACAGTAAGCTGAGGTTGCGCCACTATGCTCCAGCCCACGCAACAAGAGCAAAACTCCATCTCAAAAAAGAAACAAAATGAACGTTACAAGAGCAAAATTTTACCTTCACTTTCCCTTCACAATTATTGCTTTTAATTAAAAAAAAAGGGGGGTGGTGGTGGTTGGGAATGTGGGCTTATTTGGTTTCATTCCATAAACTATGGAACTGACATTACATATTGGGGGTCAGGGTGGGGTATAATAATATAATATAGGCTGCTGCTGGCCTTTCTCATCTTACTAGGTCGTATTTATTGTGCATCCACACTGGAATAGGACAGCTGCTGTTTGGCTGCTGCTATCTTGGTGTAATTTCTTTCTAGTATGTCACCTTGCTTTTCCTACCAATTATTAAATCATTTGCATCAACCTCTTGTATATGTCTGAGGTTTGGGCTCTGCCTTTGTGCTTATCACCAGTATTAAACACGGGAGCACCAAAGGACACCGAGGGAAACACCACATAAACACAGTGATGGATATAGTGGCATAGCAACCCAGGGGGTGCAACATATGGGTTAGAGCCTCATGTTTTCTCAACTTTCAAGTTGTGATAGAATCAGGGCCCTCACAAGCTATAAACATAGATTTTTATCTGCAAATGCATTATATTCGAAGTCTTGCCCAAATCTGTTATGTTTTATTAATAAAAATAAAACTAAATTTAGTTGTGAATGAAATAAATCTAACTTTTAAGATAGGAAAAAAATCGTAAAATTGGTGAATTTGATGTTCAATCGCTGGCATCAGATGGTGAACAGATGCTTTATAAACACATAGCACAGGAAAGAGCATGGGTTTACTGAGAGCAAGCCATGCCAAACTAACCTTCTTTCCTTTTATGATAGAGTTGACACTGAGAGGAGAGAAATTTTTAAAAATAGTGTATCTTGATTTCAGTCAGGATAAAATGTTTCCTTGAGACAAGATGGAGTGAACTCAAACTGAATAGTAAGAGGACAGATCCAGGCCAGGCACGGTGGCTCACGCCTGTAATCCCAGCACTTTGGGAGGCCAAGGCAGGCTGCTCATCTGAGGTCAGGTGTTCGAGACCAGTCTGACCAACATGGAGAAACCCCATCTCTACGAAAAATACTAAATTAAGCGGGCGTGGTGGCGCATGCCTGTAATCCCAGCTACTCGGGAGGCTGAGGCAGGAGAATTGCTTGAACCCAGGAGGTGGAGGTTGCGGTGAGCTGAGATCGCGCCACTGCACTCCAGCCTGGGCAACAAGAGTGAAACTCAGTCTCAAAAAACAAGATGACAGATCCATTGCTGATTAAACATAATTAATGGGCCAAAGGCAACTTCAAAGGAGGTCTATAATGGCATGCCACAGGGCTCTAAAACTTTGCAGTTTTATCAATAACTCAAATGAAATGTATACATGCCCTTACACAACATTTTGAGAGACAACAAATACAATGAATATCAAGATACATATATATATAATATGTATTTCTTTTTGAGATGGAGTTTCACTGTTGTTGTCCAGGCTGGAGTACAATAGCACGATCTTGGCTCACTGCAACCTCTGCCTCCCAGGTTCAAGCAATTGTCCTGCCTCAGCCTCCCAAGTAGCTAGGATTACAGGCATGTGCCACCACACCTGGCTAATTTTGTATTTTTTAAGTAGAGATGGGGTTTCACCATGTTGGTCAGGCTGGTCTCGAACTCCTGACCTCAGGTGATCCACCTGCCTCAGCATCTCAAAGTGCTGGGATTACAGGTGTGAGCCACCCCACCCGGCCATATATATATATTTTTGAGATGGAGTCTTACTCTGTCACCCAGGCTGGAGTGCAATGGCTTGATCTCGGCTCATTGCAACCTCTGCCTCCCATGTTCAGATGATTCTCCTGCCTCAGCCTCTCAAGAAGCTGGGATTACAGGTGCATGCCACCATGCCCAACTAATTTTTATATTTCATCATGGGGTTTCACCATGTTGGCCAGGGTGGTGTCGAACTCCTGACCTCAAGTGATCTGCCTGCCTCGGCCTCCCAAAGTGCTGGGATTACAGGCATGAACCAATACGCTTGGCAATATTTTTTTAAGAAAAAAAAATTTCAGGTTGCAACAGCATCCAAAAAGTAACCAATGATTTTAGGTGAAGGGTGAAGACAAATGTAAACTCTTTTTTTTTTTTTTGAGATGGCGTCTTGCTCTGTCGCCTAGGCTGGAGTGCATTGGTGCAATTGCGACTCACTGCAACCTCCACCTCCTGGACTCAAACGATTCTCCTGCCTCAGCCTCCCGAGTAGCTGGGATTATAGGCTCGCGCCGCCACGCCCCGCTAATTTTTGTGTTTTTAGTAGAGACGGGGTTTCACCATGTTGGCCAGGCTGGTCTCAAACTCTTGACTTCAAGTGATCCGCCTGCCTTGGCCTCCCAAAGTGCTGGGATTACAGGCTTGAGCCACCCGGTGAAATGTAAATTGTTAAACCTGTGTTTTTGAAAATGCATAAGTATAGGATAAGGGAGAATTGACTTTCTGAAGACCAGAACATTTTAGTCAATTTCAAACACAATGTGAGTCAATTGTATAAAACAGGTTCCTTATCCTGATGAGGATAAGAATAGTATCCTTGTCAGATGGAAATGCCCATTCAGCTGTACTTTCTAGTGGTTACGCCCATAGTAGCACTGTTGATGGAACCAGGTATCTGACTTTAGGAAAGATGTTCCCCAACTGGAGCTGACCCAGAGGAGCCTGACCAACTTGGGGAAAGTTTAAAGATCTCATCACGTGGAGAATAGGGGAAGGCACCAACACGTATTGAGTGTCTACTTTGAGCTTAAGGGAGAAGGAGAAAAGGCAGGGAATAAACGGAGGATGGAATAAGAATAGGTAATCTTCCTTAGGTTTAAATAATAAGTGCTTGCCATAGGAAGGAGCCCCAGAACACAGTTATCAATAATAGAGACTCACACAGAGCATTCTACACTAGAGCTGCTGTCCTCTTGACCAGAATAAGGGTAAGGTGTGTGTGCGTGTCCAGGAAAGTAGGCAGCTAGGAGGTGATCAGAGCATACACTACTGCCGCCACAATTCTAAGTGTCTTCCCCTAGGGGAATCCTATTTCTTCTCAGGCACATTTGTTTATTCATTCCATGTTCACTCTTGTTATTTACTTCTTGCCAGGCTTTGTGTTAAGAATTGGGGAAACAAGGTTGAATAAACCCAGTCTGTAAAGAAAAGGAGCTCACAGTCTGGAGGGGCAAATGGGCATTGTGCCTGCAAGTTGGCCCACTGAGAGCCTAAGAAGTGAAGTTATGAATCCAGGATTACTCAGTTATCAATGAAGTGATTAAACATCATCCATACAGACCTTCAGAGCTGGAGGGAATTTTGGATACCTACTCAGCACATAGTTTTCAAACAGTGCCTTGTGGAACCCTAGGGCATTTCTTAGGGATTGCTGTGTGTGAGAGAGGAGATTGAATCAGAAGGTGTCTGGGACCATTCTCTACTCACACTTCAAGCAGAGCAGCTCCACTTCTATCTGTATTATTATTTTTATTATTTATTTATTTATTTATTTTGAGACGGAGTCTCGCCCTGTCGCCCAGGCTGGAGTGCAGTGGCACGATCTCAGCTCACTGCAACCTCTGCCTCCCGGGTTCAAGAGATTCTCCTGCCTCAGCCTCCTGAGTAGCTGGAATTATAGGCCTATGCCACCACGCCCAGCTAATTTTTGTATTTTTAGTAGAGACGGGGTTTCACCATGTTGGTCAGGCTGGTCTCGAACTCCTGACCTTGTGATCCACCGGCCTCGGCCTCCCAAAGTGCTGGGATTACAGGCATTAGCCACCATGCCCGGCCTATCTGTATTATTTATTCATTATTGCTATGTGAATGAACCTGAAGAATGCTTACTGTTACTGCTAAGTATTTAACCACACCCCATGCCCATGCAGGATGATAGTGAATAGTGGCCAAAAGATACTATAATTAGACTCATGTAATTAAGGAATATTTTTGTCTTGTACCTATTATGTGCCTATAAAGACTATGAAATCTATTTATTCAGTGATTTATTGGAATACCAAATAAGCAAAGATCCTATGTGCTAAAGATTCTAATATTGTGCTAAGATTTTCCTTCAGATGTTTGGCTTTCTCAAATTCCCTGAGGGCTAGAACTTTGCCCTACTCATTTGTGTTTCCCAAGTGTCTAACGCAGTGCCTGACACATACAGGATCTCCAAACGCTTGCTGAATGTGTGAGGAAGGAATTAAAATAATGTACCGCCGGGCAAAGTGGCTCATGCCTATAATCCCAGCACTTTGAGAGACCGAGGTGGGCAGATCACTTGAGGTCAGGAGCTCGAGCCCAGCCTGGCCAACATGGTGAAACCCCGTCTCTACTAAGAATACAAAAATTAGCCGCGAGTTGTGGCAGGCGCCTGTAATCCCAGCTACTCGGAAGGCTGAAGTGGGAGAATCACTTGAACCTGGGAAGCAGAGGTCGTAGTGAGCCGAGATCAGACCGCTGAGCTCCAGCCTGGGTGACAGAGCAAGACTCCATCTCGAAAAATAAAAGTAAAATAAAATAATGTACTAACTGGACCCAGAACAGATTTTCCAATTGATTATTGACAACAAAGGAATCTGAATTATTTAATAAGGTGAATAAGTACATATTCATATATATATGTATATGTGTGTGTATTTACATTTTTATAAAAGTGTAAAAGTATATATACTTTTTTTCCTTTCTTCAGGTAGAAACCTCTCCTAGATTGTCACTGAATAAACATTAGCACTAACTATGGCAATCAAATCACATATTGATTGGTGTCAGAGAAGAATTGAACATTCAACTCTGAAGCAGTGTTATTTCTTCCATCTGCAAACACTCTGTCCCCCATCCCTTCTTTGTGTATCCTGGAATCCAAGTCATAAATAATGATAGGTATTTCTGTCAAAGGTATTTCTCAGAGGAGTGATATGTAACTCCCTTTCCTCTGATACACTGACTCACTAAGCAGCTACCCTTGTGAATTCCAGTTAGCAATACTTCTTGCTATGTCTGGTCCAACTTTCAGACAAACCTAGTGTTCAGGATTCCTATAGCCATTTATAGGTGTAGACAGGAAGCATTCAGATATCCCCAGAGGTACCTGATAACCAGCTGATCCATGACTGTCTGTCTTGGGCTTGGCCAGCTTGAAATCTTGACATTGTGGTTCTCCCCAGAGAAGGTGCCTTTTGGATGTGAGATAAAGACATTATGACTAGATAGTGCATGGTGAGGGTGTTTTTCTAGTTTTACCGAAGTGTTGATCTGTAAAGCTGCTACCAGCACACACACACACACACACACACACACACACACACAATTAACCACAGATATCCTCATGGGAAATTGTCTTAGGAAAGAATGGAAGCCAAGATTTTATATATAGACCACAGAAGGTGATGGGTAATGTTCTTGGAAGGGAGTTGACAGGCAATAGCTATAAGTTAACTCAGGAAAGCAAAGAAAATCCCCAAAGAGCTAAGGGAGAGGTTAGAGATTCTGCTTTTTATTAGCAATTCATAGCTCTCAAGTTTCATACAGTCTTTAAGGCTCCCCTCTTCATATAGAATAAATGAAATTATTTTATAAATTGTTCCTCAGATTCGTATCTGTACATTCTGGGACCACGAGTTGTAGCAGGATGTGATTTTCCTCATTCTGGGCATCTAAGTTC
Source organism: Homo sapiens (assembly GCF_000001405.40). NCBI lineage: Eukaryota > Metazoa > Chordata > Mammalia > Primates > Hominidae > Homo > Homo sapiens. Next base: position 104,952,521 of record NC_000009.12, on the reverse strand, counting down.
TACAGTTAAGGACACTGAAACAAACCTTTAGTCGAATAAAGATTGGCACATTGTTTCTTCTCCCATAAACATTGAATGGTCCAGGAAGGGCCAGGTGTGGTGGCTCACACCTGTAATCCCAGCACTTTGGGAGGCCAAGGCAGGTAGATCACCCGAGGTCAGGAGTTCAAGACCAGCCTGGCCAAGATGGTGAAACCCTGTCTCTACTAAAAATACAAAAAGGAGGAGTGGTAGTCCCAGCTTTTGCATGAATGTCCACATTGGGACTTTATCTTAAATGTGCAAGACACAACTCTTGGCCAGGCGTGGTGAACCGAGATTGTGCCACTGCACTCCAGCCAGAGAATGCACTCCAGCCTGAGCAACAGAGCCAGACTCCTTCTCAGAAAAAAAAAAAAAAAAAAAAAGACAACTCTTAAATTGGTGTTCTACTGTCCTTGAACCACCATACCTTTGCAGAAGTCATTCTAGATCATCAATCTGACCATAAAACACAGTTTGCCAAACTGGCAACTAACTGCACCTATTTGTGATTAGTTTGGAAGAAACTTGAAAGTGCCCCTTTTAACTGTCCACTTATTCCCTGCCTGGGCACGGAATTCTCTCCCACGCTTAATAACGGACACTTTTAAAAATTATTTTTACTCCCCACAGAGTTGGCAGATTGCTGTTTCAGAGAGTTAAATGGAATGCCTCCAGTGGAAGTATCCCGTTTTCTAGAATGGAAAGTCTATCTTCACAGTGTCATAATCCAGGTGCCCTGGGCTGAGACTTCCCCTGCCTAGGCGGTACCCTGGGTAGCACAGCTGAACTGGCTGTGAACTAAACATTCATTTTTTATTAGCAGCCAGGCTGGACAGAGATCACACAAGACCAACCTGACAACAGCAGCATGCTGCTCTGCTTCAGAAGTAATTTTTTTTTTTTTTGAGACAAGAGCCTTGCTCTATCACCCAGGCAAAGTGCAGTGGCATGATCTCGGCTCACTGCAACCTCCACCTTCTGGGATCAAGCGATTCTCCTGCCTCAGCCTCCCAAGTAGCTGGGATTACAGGCGCATGCCACCATGCCTGGCTAATTTTTTGTACTTTTGTATTTTTTTTTTTTTTGAGATGGAGTCCTCGCTCTGTCGCCCGGGCTGGAGTGGCCTGAGCCACCGCACCTGGCCCTTCAGAAGTAATTTTTAAGGAAGGATCTTGTCCTGGGTGGGGGGTTGGGCAAGGCTGTGAAAAGCAAACAAAAATCACATGTGGCCTAATAGGAGGCCAGTGGAAATACACATGATGAAAAAGAAACTTACAAAAGCACATTATTAATTTCTGAACATGCTAATACCATCCAATAACAATAAGATCTAATATTTATTGAATGCTGATTACTCATCAGCTACATTCCAAGTACTTCTACATGTACAGTTATGTGACACATAAGATGTTTAGGTCACCACTGACAGAATGTATGATGGTGACCCCATAAGATTACAAAAATTCCTATTGCCTAGTGACATATGTAGCAAGATGCATTACTCACGTGTAATAAGTAATGTGATGCTGCTGTAAACAAACCTACTGTGCTGCCATGCCTATAGAAGTCTAGGACGGGCTGGGCACAGTGGCTCATGCCTGTAATCCCAGTACGGTGGGAGGCCAAGGCAGGCCGATTGCTTGAGCCCAGAAGTTCAAGACCAGCCGGGGCAACATAGTGAGAGCCTGTCTCTACAAAAAATACAAGAACAAATTAGCCAGGCATGGTGGCGCATGCCTTTGGTCCCAGCTACTCAGGAGGCTGAGGCAGGAGGATCACTTAAGCCCAGGAGGTTGAGTCTGCAGTGAGCCATGATGGTGCCACTGCACTCCAACCTGGAGAGAGAGTGAGACCCGGTTTTAAAAAAAAAAAAAAGCCTAACAAATAAAAGTATGTATAGTACAGAATACTTGGTAATGATAAACAGTATGTTACTGGTTTATGTGTTTACTATACTTTTTATTTTTTAGAGTATACTCCTACTTATTTAAAAAGAAAAAAGAAAGTTAACTGTAAAACAGGCTTAGACAGGTCCTTCAGGAGGTATTCCAGAAGAAAGGCATTGTTATCACAGGAGATGAAAGCTCCATGCATGTTACTGCCCTTGAAGACCTTCCAGTGGGACAAGATGTGAGGTGGAAGTCTATGATAGTGATGATCCTGACCCTGTGTAGGCCTAGGCTAATATGTGTGTTTTTAACATATTAGTTTTTAACAACAAAGTTTAATCAGTTAAAACAATTTTTTTAATAGAAAAAAGCTCATAGAATAAGGATATAAAGAAAGACAATGTTTTGTTTGTTTGTTTGTTTGTTTTTTGAGACAGAGTCTCGCTCCATCACCTGGGCTGGAGTGCAGTGGCACAATCTTGGCTCAGTGCAACCTCTGATTCCCAGGTTCAAGTAATTCTCATGCCTCAACCTCCCAAGTAGCTGGGATTACAGGCGCCCATCACCACACCCAACTAACTTTTGTCTTTTTAGTAGAGATGGGGTTTCATCATATTGGCCAGGCTTGTCTTGAACTCCTGACCTCAGGTGATCCACCCTCCTCGGCCTCCCAAAGTGCTGGGATTACGGTTGTAAGCCATCGTGCCCGGCCAGAAAGAAAATGTTTGTACAGTTGTACGATGTATTTGTTTTAAGCTAAGTGTTATTATGAATGAATCAGGTGGGGTGTAGTGGCTCATGCCCGTAATCCCAGCACTTTGGGAGACCGAGGACGGAGGATAGCTTGAGTCCAAAGTTCGAGACCAGCCTGAACAACGTGGTGAGACCTCGTCTCTACAAAAAATAAACAAAATTATCCATGCGTGGTGGTACATACCTATAGTCCTAGCTACTCAGGAGACTGAGGTGAGGGGATTGCTTGAACTCAAGAGGTTGAAGCTGCAGTGAGCTATAATTGTACCACTGCATTTCGGCCTAGGTGACCCCGCCTCAAAGAATAATAATAAAAGCTGGGCACGGTGGCTCACGCCTGTAATCCCAGCACTTTGGGAGGCCAAGGCGGGCGGATCACTTGAGGTCAGGAGTTTGAGACCAGCCTGGCTGACATGGTGAGACCCCGTCGCTACTAAATACAAAAAATTAGCCGGTCGTGGTGGTGTGTGCCTGTAATCCCAGCTACTCAGGAAGCTGAGGTGGGAGAATTGCTTGAACCTGGGAGGCAGAGGTTGCAGTGAGCCGAGATAGCGCCACTGCACTCCAGCCTGAGCAAAAAACAATAATAAATAAATAAGTTTGAAAATTTAAAATGTTTATAAAATTAAAAAGTTACAGTGAGCTAAGATTTAGTATTAAAGAATTTTTTTATAAACATGTAGTGTAACTCTACAGTGTTAATAAACTCTACAGTAGTGTACAGTGACATCCTAGGCCTTCACATTCACTCATCACTCACTGACTCACCCAGAGCAACTTCCAGTCCTGAAAGCTCCATTCATGGTAAGTTTCCTATACAGGCGTGCCATTTAAAAAATCTTTTAGGCCAGGCGCGGCGGCTCACGCCTGTAATCCCAGCACTTTGGGAGGCTGAGGCAGGCGGATCACGAGCTCAGGAGATCGAGACCATCCTGGCTAACACGGTGAAACCCCGTCTCTACTAAAAATACAAAAGATTAGCTGGGTGTGGTGGTGGGCGCCTGTAGTCCCAGCTACTCGGGAGGCTGAGGCAGGAGAATGGCATGAACCCAGGAGGCGGAGCTTGCAGTGAGCTGAGATCACACCACTGCGCTCCAGCCTGGGCCACAGAGCAAGACTCCATCTCAAAAAAAAAAAAAATCTTTTATACTATATTCTTAATGTACCTTTTCTATGTTTAGATACACAAATACCACTGTATTACAATTGCCTACTGTATTCAGTACAGTAACATGCTATATGGTTACGTAGCCTAGGAACAATAGGCTATATTGTTCCTAGGTATAGGGATGTGGTATCCTATACCATCTAGGTTTGTGTAAGTTTATTTTATGATGTTTGCATGACGACAGAGTCACCTAAGGACTCATTTCTTAGAATATATTTGTAGTTAAGCAATGCATGACTCTATTGACTCATGAATTCTTACCACAGACCTATGGGGCAGTACTATTGTTACCCTCATTTTATAAATGATAAAACTGAGGTACAGAGACAGTAAATAACTTGACCACGGTCATTCAGCTACTCAAGAGTCAAGGCTGGGATTTAAAACCAGATCACATGGTTTCAGAGTGTTCACACTTACCTACTATACTGTCTCAAGAGCAAGGATGTTTTGGTTCACTTGACAAATGAAGATAGGGACCTCTTTCATTATAAGCCTATTTTAGGCTAAAATAGAAGGGAAGGGGACACAGTGAATCCAGGCCTTCTGGCATGGCTCCTCAGCCCTTTCTGAGCTGGCCTGGGACAGCCTTCCTACCTCACTGATGCCACTTCCTACTGAGCGACTTTCCTGCCTACCTCACTGATGCCACTTCCTACTGAGCGACTTTCCTGGGCTCCAGACCCAGTAAGCGACTTTGCCTGCACCCACCTTATTTTGCTCTACTCCCTGTGCTTTTATGCCTTTACCCATCTGCCCTGGAAAGCTCTTCTAACCTTTGAATGGGTAAAGGCATAAATGTATGCTGGAGAAATCCTCAGCTCAGGGCCAGGCACGCTGGCTCACGCCTGTAATCCCAGCACTTTGGGAGGCCGAGGTGGGTAGATCACCTGAGGTCGGGAGTTGGAGACCAGCCTGACCAACATGGAGAAACCCCTGTCTCTACTAAAAATACAAAATTAGCTGGGCGTGATGGCACATGCCTGTAATCCCACAGCTACTCGGGAGGCTGAGGCAGGAGAATTGCTTGAACCTGGGAGGCGGAGGTTGCAGTGAGCCAAGATTGCGCCTCTGCACTCCAGCCTGGGCGACAGAGCTAGACTCTGCCTCAAAAAAAAAAAACAAAAAAAAGAAAAAAAAGAAAAAAAAGAAATCCTCAGCTGAGTTGTCAACTCCTCTTTGAAACTTTCTCAGACCTTTCAGGCTGAGTCGTCGCTCATTTGTGCTTCCTCAGTTCCTGGCTTCTACCTTCTTCATAGCTTGTTTCATGTAATGTTAATTCTTACTTGCTTTCTCCCTCTTCTAAGCTGAGAGCTACTTCAAAGCATGGGTAGGACCTAGCACGGTGTATGGGACATGGGTGGTACCCCGTAAATGTTTACTGAAAAAAAAATGCCTAAAGCAATTGTTAACATCATCAGATAGATAATTATGGGCATTCAGAGATTCTGTCTTCAAGCTTATATAAAGAACTTATTTTTGGCTCTAATTATCCTGATAATTTTCTCATTACTTTCACTTATTGTGGCTTGTGGATCAATTGTTGACATTTTATAAACATTTCACTATTTGACAATGATGATACTAAAATACGAATTAAGCAACCATTCTAAAGATAGTGATGATGATAACATATACGCTGGTAACATCTTTATTTTCAGCCGTATCATGGAATCCTCTGTTTCCATTCTGCTAGGTAGGCAGGTATGCAGGTAGAACTTGTGAGAGGATATGATTTTTGTTTCCATCTTAGATATGACAGGAACTTGGAATTTTTGACATAAATGACGAACATCCGGGATTCTTAAACAATCTTTAAAAATGGAATGCCTTAAAAGCTGGGCGCAGTGGCTCACGCTTATAATCCCAGCACTTTGGGAGGCTGAGGCAAATGGATCACTTGAGTTCAGGAGTTCAAGACCAGCCTGGCCAACATGGTGAAACCCCATCTCTACTACAAATACAAATATTAGCCGGGCGTAGTGGCAGGCGCCTGTAATCCCAGCTACTTGGGAGCCTGAGGCAGGGGAATTGCTTGAACCCAGGAGGCCTTGGAGATTGCAGTGAGCTGAGACTGCGCCATTGCACTCCAGCCTGGGCAACAAGAGTGAAACTCCATCTCCGGAAAAAAAAAAAAAAAAAAAAGGAATGCCTTTGGGAATAATTTATTTATAATTTATGTATAACATATAGACAAACCATTAGTTTGTCTTATATTTTACTAAATATAAATTTAGTAAATATAAATATTTACTAAATATAAAAACTCTTAGATTTTACTAAAGAGTTACAACTAATTGGCCTGGCGTGGTGGCTCACACCTGTAATCCCAGCACTTTAGGAGGCAGAGGTGGGCCGATCACGAGGTCAGGAGATCAAGACCATCCTGGCTAACACGGTGAAACTCTGTCTCTACTAAAAAAAAAAAAATACAAAAAATTAGCCGGGCGTGGTGGCAGGCCCCTGTAGTCCCAGCTACTCAGGAGGCTGAGGCAGGAGAATGGCGTGAACTAAGCAGAGGCTTCCCTAAAAGTGATCTTCAGGATAAAGGCAGAGGAAGAGGCTCCATGACTGGGATTGGTGTTGAGGAGAGCCAGAGAAGCAAGCTACAGAAAAGAGAAAAAATTAATATGCAAGAGAGTAAACAACACGAAGGAAAAGAACCCAGTGTGGAAACACTACACGTGAGAAAGGTGTCTGTAAGGATGTTCTACAAAGCAAATGCTTGGATATTAATTCATTGCAGCAGGAGATGGTAAGCCTCATGATAAAGAAGGAGAAAAAATCAAGTCAAGGGCTCTGAGGTACTGACCCAGGTATACTTGACTATGCCAGCAACTGTTTAGGGGGAGATTTGAGCTACACTTGTAGCAAAGGCAAAATCTGTAATTAGTTGTAACTCTTTTTTTTTTTGAGATGGTGTCTCGCTCTGTCCCCCAGGCTGGAGTGCAGTGGTGTGATCTTGGCTCACTGCAAGCTCCGCCTCCTGGGTTCAAGTGATTCTCCAGCCTCAGCCTCCCAAGTAATTGGGACTACAGGCATGCACCACCATGCCCAGCTAATTTTTGTACTTTTATTACAGACCATGTTTTGCCATGTTCACCAAGCTGGTCTCAAGCTCCTGACCTCAAGTGATCCGTCCGCCTCGGCCTCCCAAAGCGCTGAGATTATAGGCCTGAACCACCGCGCCTGGCCTAAAGAGATCTAATTCTTAGCAAAGTTTCACCAGGGAGTCTCTCCTCACCCCCACCCCATCCTTCCCACAAAGAATTAGAACAATGTCCCTACTACCCCTGCTGTATCTCTGACTTTTTACTTTAAATCTCAGCAGAATATTTTACTAAATGTTTTGATGTGGTTATATAAAATCATCCCTGCTGACAAGGAAACACTTTTTGAAAAAAGTTTTCATTATCAAACAGTAAGTACAGCTGACTGCCGTGACCTTTAACCCATTTCTGAGTCTCCCCTCATTGGACTTGGGTGGAGGGGACTGGTACCAATAAAGTCAAATGCTTAATAATTTATGCAAGTGCTTGAAGAAATTTGAAGTTGAATATTTCTATCATCTTGAAATGGAGAAAGAATCTGTAAACAGCAAAGCCAGACGCCCTAAAGGAAAAGATTTACAGATTAAAATAAGATTGCAATCTGGTAAAAATATTTGCAACACATGTAACAGTCAGAAAGTTGAAACACTTGGTTTAACAAGAGCTTTTAACAGATAAATAAGGAAAGAATAAACATTGGATTTTAAACACCGATAAACATGAAAAGATGTTTAATCTTTATTTTTATTTAATCCATATTATTTTTCAGTTTAATCAAAGAAAATATAAATCAAAACAATAATACATTTTATATATATATATATATATATATATATATATATATATATATAGTAGGCATAAGTTAAAGACTGATAAGACTGTTGAAAAGGGATGAAAAACTAGGCTTACTCATACCAATATATATCTATTAGGATGGCTAAAGTAAAAAATACTGAAAATATCAAGTGCTCAAAAGGATATGGAGCAATTGGAACCCTCAGACATCGCTGATGAGAAAACAAAATGGTACAGCCACCCTGGAGAACAGTTTAGCTGTTTCTTGTAAAGTTAAACATGCGCTTACCATATGACTCAGCAATCTCACTCCTGGGTATTTATGCTAGGAAAAGGAAAATTTATACTTGCACACAAAAAACTTGTAAGTGAATCTTTATAGCAGCTCTATTCATAACTGCCAAAAACTGAGAGAAAATGTCCTTTAATGTGTGAATGGATAAACCAACTGTGCAACATCCATGTAATGAAATACTACTTAGCAATAATAATAATAATATTAAAAACCCCAGAACCATTGATGCATGCAACAAATATGGATAAATCTCAAAAGCATTATGCTGAGTAAAAGAAGTCAGTCTGAAGGATTTCATACTCTAGGATTCCATTTATATAACATTATTGAAACGACAAAATTATGGGGACAGAGAATAGATCAGCGGTTGCCAGGGGTTTAGGTGTGTGGAGAGGGTGTGGCTATAAAGAACATGCAAGGGAATTTTTTTGGGAGATGAAATGGATCTGTATCCTAATTATGGTCATGGTAACACAAATCTATACATGTGTTTAGATTCATAGAACTGTATACCAAAAGAAAAAAAGTCATTTTTACTCTCTTAAAATGAAAAAAGAAAAAGCCTGGGCATTCTAACACCTTGTTTGTGAGAGTACACATTGATACCAAGTTTTATGGTGGGCAATTTTGCTATAAATACGGAAAGTTTGTCTGTTCTATTATTCAGCAATCCCAGTTTTGCAAAACTATGCTAAAGAATCTTTGGGGGCCGGGCACGGTGGTTCACGCCTGTAATCTCAGCACTTTGGGAGGCCGAGGTGGACGATCACCTGAGGTCAGGAGTTTGAGACCAGCCTGGCCAACATTGGGCAACCCTGTCTCTACTGAAAATACAAAAATTAGCCGGGCATGGTGGCGCATGCCTGTAGTCCGAGCTACTCGGGAGGCTGAGGCAGGAGAATCACTTGAACCTGGGAGGCAGAGGTTGTAGTGAACTGAGATCGTGCCACCGCACTCCAGCCTGGGCAACAGAGTGAGAATCCGTCTCAAAAAAAAAAAAAAAAAAAAAAACAAAACAAAACAAAAAACTTTGTGTACGTGTGCAAAGAGAATACAAAGATGATCATGGCTGCATTTTTTAAATGACTATAAAAAAGAGGTACAACCAGCCAGGTAAAGTGGTGTGCACCTGTAGTCCCAGCTACTCGGGAGGGTGAGGTGAGAGGAACACTTGAGTCCAGGAGTTTCAGGCCAGCCTGGGCAACATAGTGAGACCCCTGTCCCAAAAACAAAACAAAACACCAAAATGTCTATCTGTAGGAATTTGTTTTCAAGTTGTGATACATAGGTACAGTGAAATATTATACATTCATTTAAAATGATGATAAAATCTGTATTTGTTTACATGAAAAACTGTCCACTATAATGTAGTGAAAATAATAGATTACAAACAATATATATGGAATAAACTTGTTTAGAAACAATTTCTAGAAGAAGGTACAATGGACAGAATTATCTCTGGGAAGTGGGTTTATAATGATTCTCATTTTCTTCTTTGTATCTTTTTCATAGTCTTTCTACTTTTGTTATGTCTGGACATTTGATTATGAGCATGTATTACTGATCTATTTTAAAAATTGATTTTAATTTTTACAAAAACTCATGTAAAGCTTGAAGGTTCGCATTTTAGACCATGTTAAAATTTTCCTGGATCAAAACAGACTTATTCAAATATCTTGTACCCTGTCCTCCAAAATTGCCTGCCAAAATACACTACAAAAGAGAGCATTTAGCTGCATATTTTTTGGACTGCTGAGATCAACAATATTATTTCCATGGCTTAAATTTTTACCCTCCAGTATGTGTGGGTTACAAACACTCTTCCACATTTTTGAGGCATTGCTTTTGATATTTTAAATGTAAATTCAGCTGTGCGCGGTGGCTAACGCCTATAATCCCAGCACTTTGGGACGCTGAGGAAAGGATCACTTGAGGTCAGGAGTTTGAGACCAGTTTAGCTAACGTGGTGAAACCCCGTCTCTTTTAAAACTACAAAAATTAACCGGGCATGGTGGCAGGCACCTGTAATCCCAGCTACTCAGGAGGCTGAGGCAGGAGAATCACTTGAACTTGGGAGACAGAGGTTGCAGTGAGCCGAGATCATGCCACTGCCCTCCAGCCTGGCCACAGAGCGACACTCCATCTCAAAAAAAAAAAAAAAAAAAAAAAAAAAGGCCAGGCGCAGTGGCTCACGCCTGTAATCCCAGCACTTTGGGAGGCCAAGGTGGGCGGATCAACTGAGGTTGGGAGTTCACGACCAGCCTGACCAACATGCAGAAACCCCGTCTCTACTAAAAATACAAAATTAGCCGGGTGTGGTGGTACATGCCTGTAATCCCAGCTACTCGGGAGGCTGAGGCAGGAGAATTGCTTGAACCCAGGAGGTGAAGGTTGTGTTGAGCTGAGATCCCGCCATTGCACTCCAGCCTGGGCAACGAGCAAAACTCTGTCTCAAAAAAACCGAAAAAATTCCCCCAAAAAACCAAAAAAAAACAGCAACAACAAAAAAATCAAATAATGTACCTTGTTTAGCATAAAGCATAATTATATGCATATGGTGATTGGGAGGATGAAATGGAAAGGTTATTTATTACTGACTTCAGAAATTATGTCCTGATAGATTGATGGTTGATTTAAATATAACTTCTTGTCAAGCATCTGTTTTTAGAATCAAATTACTATGACTCTGCAGTTTCCTTGAAATCTCATAGTATCACATCTCTGTTTGCCTTTGCATGGTTTTAAGAAAATGAGGAGTGTGAAACTTCAAACTTCGTTTTCATTGTATTACATTTTTGAATGACACACTGGTCATTTCCTAGAAATATAAGGTGACAAATATTTCACAGAAACATAAGGTGCTATTATCTCATTCAATCTTAGGTCACTCAAAACTCTTTCTCTCCCACACATTGAAGATTCATTTGGGAATGCTTTTGTCTTATTGTGCACCCCCAGTGAAGGGGTGGTAAGTGTTTTTCATTTTGCTTCCTTTGTTTATCTACAGGGTTCCATTCAATAAACAAAGGGACTTGGGTCAAACTTCAGGCTCTTATGGGTTTGGATGTAATCTTTGGTCTCATTTTTAGTTACCAACAGAGAGTGTTGCTTCTGACCTCTTTGACTCTTCCCTGCTGAATTTACTATGCCTTTGATACTTGTGAAGGGTGAGATTTTCGAGGAGTACTGTTGTTTTTGTTAGAGGTTGTAATGTCTTTCTTCGCTTTGTGATTCAAGTTGTGTTCAGTTACAATCATAAGCATGTGCCTAAAAAAATCAGATGCAAACTAGCAAAAGTAGAAACTCAGGGTGACAGTCTTTAAGAAAAGATGCAATTCTTGGGGCTGGGTGCGGTGGCTTATGCCTATAATCCCAGCATGTTGGGAGGCCAAGGTGGGCAGATCGCCCGAGGTCAGGAGTTCGAGACCAGCCTGGCCAATGTGGTGAAACCCTGTCTCTACTAAAAATACAAAAATTAGCTGGGCGTGCTGGTGGGTGCCTGTAATCCCAGCTACTCAGGAGGCTGAGGCAGGAGAATTGCTGGAACCTGGGAGGTGGAGGTTGCAGTGAGCCTAGATTGCGCCATTGCACTCCAGCCTGGGCAACAAGAGCGAAACTCTGTCTCAAAAAAAAAAAAAAAAAAAAAGATGCAACTCTTATTACTGACACAGAAATGAAAATTTAGTTACATAGTATTGTAAAAGGACTATCAGCTAGGTTTAGCCTTACCAAGATTTAGGTAATTCATTTCCTGCTACACTCATATTCTCAGCCACTTCCCTCATCACATTTTCAGGGTGCAGTATATAATAGCGTCAACTCGTGTAATTCCCCCTACTCCCCATGAACTTCTAGGCCAAGGGGCCACACGGGGTGGGGCATATAGTATAAAGGAGTAAGGCAGACTGTTGGAGAAAAACAGGGATTAGGCCAGGTGCGGTGGCTCACGTGTGTAATCCCAGCACTTTAGGAGGCTGAGGCGGGCGGATCACGAGGTCAAGAGTTTGAGACCAGGCTGACCAACATGGTGAAACCCTGTCTGTATTAAAAATACAAAAATTAGCTGGGCACGGTGGCAGGCGCCTGTAATCCCAGCTACTCAGGAGGCTGAGGCAGGAGAATTGCTTGAACCTAGGAGGCGGCGGTTGCAGTGAGCCAAGATCACACCACTGCACTCCAGCCTGGGTGACAGAGTGAGACTCTGTGTCAAAAACAAAAATAAATACAAAAACAAAAACAAAAACAAAACAAAACAAAAAACAAGGATTAGTGAGGACTTTGCAAAGTGCAAACAGCATGCTCCATCTAAAGAGAGCTTTTCAGTACTAGCTGATTGTTGTTGTGTGGAAATACGTCTTGTATGGTGAGATCTTCCACCTTTTCAACAGAAATGAGAAACACAAACATTTCTGTGTGACACTTCCAAACTTGTTGGCTATTTCTGTTTTTCTTTTTTTCTTTCTTTCTTTCTTTTTTTTTTTTGAGGCAGAGTTTTGCTCTCGTTGCCCAGGCTGGAGTGCAATGACGTGATCTTGGCTCGCCGCAACCTCTGCCTCCTGGATTCAAGCGATTCTCCTGCCTCAGCCTCCCAAGTAGCTGAGACATGTGCCGCCATGCCTGACTCATTTTGTATTTTTAGTAGAGACGGGGTTTCTCCATGTTGGTCAGGCTGGTCTCGAACTCCTGACCTCAGGTGATCCATCTGCCTAGGCCTCTCAAAGTGCAGGGATTATGGGTGTGAGCCACTGCGCCCGGCCCTAGTTGGTTATTTCAAACAAAATACTAACACTCTTCAGCCCAAACCATGTGTCAGAGAGCTGGGTGTGGCCAGTGGGCCCCTGGTGTGCAACTAGTCTTCAGTGATGCTACTGTATGCTAGTGACAGCACAACTGACCACTGAAAATATGGTGCACGATGGTGAACAGATTGGATTTCCCGTATCTCTAGAACCCCAGGGCTTTGAGGCAATTCTGATAGATGGAGGGGGAGCGAGAGAGAGAAAGAGGAGGGAGAGGTATCACATGAAAGAGATACTGGACTTTCTGCTAATAAATGGGTGGGTATTTGGGTGAGTAGATAGGAAATTAAAAAGAAATATGAGAGATGGGCGTGGTGGCTTGTGCCTGTAATCCCAGTGACTTGGGAGGCTGAGGTGGGAGTATTGTTTGAGACCAGGAGTTTGAGATCAGTCTGGGCAGCATAGTGAGACCCCGTCCCTAAACATAAAATTTTAAAAAATCAGCTAAGCGTGGTGGTGCGTGCCTGTAATCCCAGCTACTTAGGAGGCTGAGGCAGGAGGATCCCTTGAGCCCAGGAGTTAGAGGCTGCAGTGAGCTATGATTGTGCCATTTTACACTAGCCTGGGTGAGAAAGCAAGACTCCCACATCTGAGACAGAGAGAGAGGAGAGAGGCAGACCATATTTGAACTCCAGGCTGGTGAATAATTCATACTGATTAATTTAATTGAAAATATTTATTTAAAATTTGCAGATCGGAGTTTTGGAAAGGTTACATTTATTAAATTATTGTTGGACTATGAGGAACACATTGTTGCTTGGAATAATATTTAATTATGATGATGATGATGATGATAATAAATGACAATAATAAACAACTATCATTTATTGAGCACATACCATATACCAGGCCCAGTACCAAGCAGTTCACATATATTATACATCTAATACCCAGAGCAACTCTATAAGGCAGCTCTATATGTTGCTTCCATTTGAAAGATGAATAAACTGAGGTACAGAGATGTGAAGTAACATGCTGATGGACACCCAGATATGATCTGCAGATAAGAAGGATAAGTCAGAAGATCAGATAAGCAGAAAGGTTTAAACACACAGGACTTTCATTTAGTAGTAAACTCTTATGATTGGTCTAAAATTCTATTTTCTTTTACAGTTTACCTACTCATCAAATCTGTCTTAACTATTTTTGTCTCTCCAAATTCTCTTCTGTTCTTTGTTACTATGTACACATGCTTTTAAAATATGTTAGGATTTGCTGTTTCCATGTGTTAATTTCTTGTTTGCCTTTCTTCATTTATAAACTCTTTCCTCCTACTAATTATTGACAAACTCTATTTTTCTTTTTTTTTTTGAAAAACTCTATTTTTCATATCATTTTTCTAAATTTAAAAATAGCATATAAGGCTGGGCATGGTGGCTCACACCTGTAATCCCAGCACTTTGGGAGGCTGAGGCGGGTGGATCACCTGAGGTTGGGAGTTTGAGACCAGCCTGGCCAACATGGTGAAACCCTGTCTCAACTAAAATTACAAAAAAAAAAAGTTAGCCGGGCATGGTGATGGGCACCTGTAGTCCCAGCTACTCAGGAGATTGAGGCAGGAGAATCGCTTGAACCCGGGAGGTGGAGGTTGCAGTGAGCCGAGATGGGGCCACTGCATTCCAACCTGGGCAACAGAGTGAGACCCTGTCTCAAAAAATAAAGTATATATATATATATATATATAAATATTTACGTGTGTGTGTGTGTGTGTGTGTGTGTGTGTGTATACATATATATAGCATGTGTTTATTTTATAAATTTTGTAAAATACAGACATATATGAAAAAATTACCTATAATCTTACCATCCACAGGTGATTGCTGTTAGCACCTATCTGGGATTTTTTTTTTCTTTTTTCTTTTTCTTTTTTTTTTTTTTTTGCAGTCTTTTCTAGGCACATATATTCAATGAAAAAGGTTATCAATATAGTAACAGTTATTTTTTATTGAATGTTAACCATACACATAAATATAGCTTTGCTTTTTTTTTCAATTCGCATTTACCATGAGCAGTTTCCTATATCACAACTCTTTGAAAACATTATTTTCACCTTTCATGGCTATATAACATTCTATCATGTGAATTTATCAATGTGTATTTTAGAATTGTTATCAGATGATTAAGCATTTTTAAAATGTTCACTCATCAATAAAATAGTGACAACATTCTTGAACATAAGTTTTTTTTACCATACTATCGGATATTTCCTTAGTATAAATTCCTCCAAGTAAAATTAGTGGGCCAAAGGCTTTTTTTTTTTGAGGCGGAGTTTCGCTCTCGTTGCCCAGGCTGGAGTGCAATGGTGTGATCTCGGTTCACCACAACCTCCTCCTCCCAGGTTCAAGCAATTCTCCTGCCTCAGCCTCCTGAGTAGCTGGGATTACAGGCATGCACTACCATGCCTGGCTAATTTTGTAGTTTTAGTAGAGACAGGGTTTCTCCATGTTGGTCAGGCTGGTCTCAAACTCCTGACCTCAGGTGATCTGCATGCCTCGGCCTCCCAAAGTGCTGGGATTACAGGCATGAGCCACTGGTCCTGGACCAAAGCCTCTTGATACATTTTGCTAAACTATCAGAATGTTGGGCCTCTTTGCACCCTACTAACACCCTCAGTTTTTATGAGTATGATTACATTATTTTCCCTCTTTTCCCCAACCTCCTATTCTATTTTCCTTAGATACCTTAAGACTGCACCCCCAACTTAGCTTTCTGTTCTCATTCAGGCAGTGTGTCCAGGGCTTCCAATCCCAGTGGTGAGTAGGCAGATGTGGGGGCTTCCTGTTGAACTCTGTTAGGTAATTGAGCCACTCAAGGGGAAACCAGCTTTGGGGTCCGCTCTGTGGCAAGCCCAGGACTCTATGAATGGAGCTCATTCCTCACTAATTTACACACCAGGACAAGTAGCCAGCTAAGAAATTGCTCTAATTTCACTGGACGTCAGTCACCAGAAGAATGGAGATACAGAAGGAAAATAAAAGGCCTGCTCCCACAGTGGGGTCATAGCACATCTCCACATTTAACCTTTGACAAGGCAAAAGTATTTCTTCTGTCCAGACAATTCCAGAAGTCATAAGGAATACTGGGCAAGGATGGGTCAAAACAACACAGACTATTGAGGGCAACAAAGGAAAAACCATGCACTCCTGAAGAAATCGTTCCCAAAATGCTGAAAGAGAAAGAGGATTGTCTCTCTAGAAGTCTAATAGAAAACAGTATCTGGAACATTTCCTAGGATTTTTTTTTTTTCTAATGACTTACTCTCTTATTAATATGTCAGAGAAAAGAAAAGCTCCTGGCTAAGAAATAAAACAGTCCCTCATCCCAGAAATCACAGCCAGGAATATGGATTCTTAAGTGTCAAAAAAGTACTCTGAATAAGGAAAGAAACGCAGATGCACTACTTCTATTATAATAAGCGCTTGATTTCTTTTAATCCCCTGAGTCCAATTATTTTCTTGGCAAATTTAAGGGTACTGACTGCTTCTGTGAATCTATTGTTACACTTGATAATGGATCTGAGTTGGGGGTAATATTTGCCTATCAATTTGGATACTTAAAAATCTCTCTCTCTTTCTTCATATACCCTCTATCTCACAACTTTCCATTTAATGAGGGAAGTGAATTTCTTTTTTCTGCCCCTCTTTCCTACTGCTTCTAGAATAAAAGCATAACAGGACGACAGGAGTGGAGATGAGAGGAAGCATTTCCAAGCAATGGGAAAGTATGATGAGAGTCGTGAGTTGGTAGAATGGGGGTGAGTAAGGGGTGGGGTGTGGATGGATGGAAGAGGATGGAGGAGGAAGCAGGTCATATGATCAGGCTTCAAAGGCCTTCCAATATCTTGTTTTCAGAGGCTTTGTAGGTCTTCTTACAGAACTTTGAGGGTATTTTTCCTTTGTGAGCAAAGGAGAACCATAGTAAATTTTGAGGGATGGGCTGGGCGCGGTGGCTCACGCCTGTAATCCCAGCACTGTGGCAGGCAGAGGCAGGTGGATCATTTGAGGTCAGGAGTTCGAGACCAGCCTGGCCAAAATGGTGAAACCCCGTCTCTACTGAAAAAACAAAAAGTTAGTTGGATGTGGTTGCATGTGCCTATAACTCCAGCTACTCGGGCAGCTGAGGCAGCAGACTTGCTGGAACCCGGGAGGCAGATGTTGCAATGAGTTGAGATTGTGCCACTGCACTCCAGTCTGGGAGACAGAGTGAGACTCCATCTCAAAAAAAAAGAAATTTTTTTTTTTGGAGGGAGAAAATATATGATTAGATTGTTTTTGTGTTGGTTTGCTTGTTTGTTTTTTTCCCCAAGCAAAAAATCACTTTACTGCAATAGGGAAGACAAATAGGAAGGGGAAGAAACTAGAGACAGGAACAGCAGTTTGGAGGTTCTGCAATACAGAAGCCCAGATGTTTGGCTTGGACTTAGACACTGGGAATGAAAAATAAATGATGAATTAAAAAAATAAAATATTTGGGAGGTATACTTGACCTGACCTTGGTGCTTTTTCAAATGAGAAGAGAAAGATAGAGACAGATGAAAAAGTTAAGCAAGGATGACTATGATTTCCCATAGTGAATGTCTGGATGATGATATCATTAAATGAAAATTTTTAAAAAGGCAGATGGTAGAAGGAGATTTGAAGGAAAGACAAGAAATTTGTTTGTTTTGGATTTACTTGTAGAATGACCTGCAAAATTTTGTCCTAATAAATGTTAACAAGTGGCTTTCCATACAAAAACCAAACCAAACAAAACCCTGATGTAAACCAAAAATAAAATTCTGAGGCCCCCCTTCACCATCTGAATGAACTTCCTCCTCTGCAAGGGCACTCTTAAAATTTAACATGAAAGACTGGTTCAGGTCATGACGGGAAGTGGGGGTCGGACAGGCCTCATTATGCCTCTCTGGCATTAACATCAACACAGACCTTAAGTCTGTTAAGAAGCATTTACAATCTATTCTCTCTGAAGCCTGCTACCTGAAGGCTTCCTCTGCACACTGAGAACTTTGGTCTCCACAATCCTTTATCTTAAGCCAGACATTTCCTTTCTATTGATCCCAGGTCTTTAGATAAACTCAACCAATTGTCAACCAGAAAAATTTTAAATCTATCTATAACCTAGAAGCCCCCACTTCAAGTTGCCCTGCCTTTTTGAACTGAACCAATGTATTTCTTAAACTTATTTGATTGAAGTCTCATATCTCCCTAAAAACCAAGCTGCACCCCAACCACCTTGGGTGCATGTTCTTAGGATCTCCTGAGGGCTGTCTCCTGAGGGCCAAGATCACTCATATTTGGCTCACCATAAATCTCTAAATATTTTACAGAGTTTTACTCTTTTCATCGACACTGATTTATATTGGATTTCCAATGGTGTAATATTCATGCCGTTGGCCGATTTCAAGCTAGCTGGTAGAGATATGCAAACAAACAAACAAACAAAAAGAGATATGCAAAAACAACTCTTGTGAGCTTGTGTGCTGGCTCCAACACACCATGCTGCTGGATATTCTACCAGGCAGCATAGGGCGCACGGTGGGTGAGCCTGGCAAGGAGACAAGAGCTGGAGGTACAGGGCTTAAATGAAGCCAAGGGCGTGAATAATATTGATGAGGAGAGCAAGTAGAAATGAAAAGAGAAAACCAGTATTAGGAGATCTATAAAGAAACAATAGTCAGAAAAAGAGTGGTTAAAGAGGCAGAAGAATCAGAAGAGAACCAGATTCATGAAATAAAAGAGAGGAATCAGTTTCAGGAAGGAAAGTGTGGTCAGTAGTGTCAAATACCAGAGACTGAATAGCCTAAGGATTTAAAAGAGGTCAACAGCACCACCAATTAAGCGGTTTTTCTGAGCTTAAGATATTTTTCTTTATTTTTCTATGTTAAAAATATTTTATAAAGAAAAAGAAAAAAAGAGATCACATTTGCCCCCCCAACCCGTCCCTGGCCTCTCTCTCTCTAAGGAAGTCGTTAATGAATTTGGGCAGAATAGATTCAGAGCTGTGAGAGTGAAAATTTGACTGCAGTGGGTGAGGTGTTAATAAAAGGGAGGGGGTAGAGATGAAATCTTTCCAGCAGTTTGGCTCTTAAGGGGATAGCTTGAAGGAAAGAGGGTTGGAAGGGTGGTTTTTAAAAAGAATTATCACTCACTAATCAACTAGAAATCCAGTGGAATATGCAGTACTTGTCTGTAATCCAGCAGGCTAACTTTTTTTTTTTTTTTTTTTTGAGACGGAGTCTCGCTCTGTCACCCAGGCTGGAGTGCAGTGGCATGATCTTGGCTTACCGCAACCTCTGCCTCCCAGTTCAAGCAATTCTCTTGCCTCAGCCTCCCAAGTAGCTGGAACTACAGGCATGCACCACCATGCATGGCTAAATTTTTTTTGAATTTTTAGTAGAGATGAGTTTCACCATGTTGGTCAGGCTGGTCTCAAATTCCTGACCTCAAGTGATCACCCGCCTCAACCTCCCAAAGTGCTGGGATTACAGGCCAGAGCCACAGTGCCCAGCCAAGGCTAACCTCTTGATCCCAATGACAAACAGAACAAACATCTTACTCAAGTCCAGAAGCAATAATAATTTTGAATCTTGCTTGCATGTCAACAGGAGCCACATTAATACAGAAGAGGATCACATTGGTCCAATTAAATTGAATTGATTGAGAGCCTCTGCAATACACGGTCTACTGCACAAATAATGATGGTTCCTGGTACATTTTTATTTGACCATTGATTGCTCGATTTGTTTCTGTGTCTAACTGTGTATTGGAATTAAGCTGACTCAATTTGAACTGCAGGTCCTTTTATCCCTCTTATTTTTTATTTATTTATTTATTTTATTTTAAGGCATTTCTCACTCTCCAGAAAATCTCTAAGATTTCAGCTATTAGGCATTTGTCTTTTTTTTTTTTTTTTTTTTTTTTTTTGAGACTGAGTCTTGCTGGGTTGCCCAGGCTGGAATGCAGTGTCACAATCTCGGCTCATCACAACCTCCACCTCCCTGATTCAAGTGATTCTCCTGCCTCAGACTCCCGAGTAGCTGTGACTATAGGTGCAAACCACCACGCCCAGCTAATTTTTGTATTTTTAGTAGAGACAGGTTTTCACTATGTTGGCCAAGCTGGTCTCAAACTCCTAACCTCAAGTGATCTGCCCGCCTTGGCCTCCCAAAGTGCTGGGATTATAGGCATGAGCCACCGTGCCCCACCAGGTCTTCTTAATCATAACAAATTCATCTTAAAACATCATTTTAAAATATATTATTTTTTATTCTTCATTGACTTCCTGCATTACTCTATTTTTTCAGAGTTTCTAGCAACCAGTATCATTGGTATTTTAAACAATGTGTACATGTACATTTATGCAGATGAGTTAACATATATCAAAGCAACCTCCAAACAATGCCATTTAGGTAATCTCCAATTTAAAAGCCTCAATAGAATGATAAGATTGAGCTTTTCTGTAGTTCCATGACCTCCAGCAGAGTCTGCAAGGCCACAGCTGCCTGAAGGTTGATTCTGTAATTAGAAGATGCCAGGGTCATCTCAGAATAGAACCTCAAGCCACCCAGGCTACATTTACAGAATCAGCCTCTCCAGAAAAACAGCAACAAAGGAGGGCCTTCCTATGTATTTGGAAGGAGTCACCTAGAGGAGGGACTTGGGGTTTTGGTGTTGGTGTGGGGGGCAGGGATGGGATGGGGAGGGGGAAGCTTATTGAAATATACTAAAAGACAAACCAACCTAAGGGCTGGAGGGAAGAAAATTCACACTTGTAAGCTTCTTTTTTAAGGGGCATCTCTTAGGCTCTAGCTTTTGAGATTCAGTATATATATATTTTTGAGTCTTGCTCTGCTGGAGTGCAGTGGTGTGATCTGGGCTCACTGCAAGTTCTGCCTCTCAGGTTCACACCATTCTTCTGCCTCAGCCTCCCGAGCAGCTGGGACTACAGGCGCCTGCCACCATGCCCAGCTAATTTTTTGTATTTTTAGTAGAGACGGGGTTTCACCCTGTTAGCCAGGATGGTCTCGATCTCCTGATCTCATGATCCGCCCGCCTCGGCCTCCCAAAATGCTGGGATTACAGGCGTGAGCCACCGCGCCCGGCCCAGTATTTTTGTTTTATGAAGATATTACATTTGTAAAGTATGAGCTTGGTGTCAGCAAACTTATATCCCTGTGTACAAACTGGCCGAATCACTTAGCCACTTTGGGCCAAATCACTTAGCTCTTCTAACAGTAAGAAATCAACAAGAAAAATAAACATTTCAAACATTACAATGTGTTCATGTATTCACTGTGGGGGATGACCAGATTCTCGAAACCACAGGTTGTTCTTAGTGAAACAAGTTTGGGTTGGGGCCATAGACTTGTGTATTTAGAATCAATGGCTGTTCTCTCTCTGGGACTTTGATTTTTTTCTTGGGCTCATCCCCTTTTTGTAGTATCTTATCTTTGTCTTATTTGTATAGGACTTAACTGTTCCCATTCCCTTATTAGAGCAATCTAAGTGATTACCTTCATACCTTTTGGAATTATATGCTTCAAAATTCCAAAAAGAATGATTTTGGGCTGGGCACAGTGGCTCACACCTATAATTCCAGCACTTTGAGAGGCTGAGGTGGATCGCCTGAGGTCAGGAGTTTGAGACCAACCTGGCCAACATAGTGAAACCCCGTCTCTACTAAAAAATATAAAAAATTAGCCGGGCATGGTGGCAGGTGCCTGTAATCTCAGCTACTCGGGAGGTGGAGGTTGCAATGAGCCCAGATCGCACCATTGCACTCCAGCCTGGGCAACAAAAGGTGAAACTCCATCTCAATTAAAAAAAAAATAATGATTTTGGTGGTCGACTTCAAATAGGTAGGAGAAGAAGGAGAGAGGAGATGGAGGGTCAGGGAGATCTAATTACTCTCTAAAATCATGCTAGGAAAGATAACACCTTTTAATAACACTCTCTGCTTTTATAACATCATTCTGCCAAGGAGCTCAAAGGTTTCAACAAAGTTCACTTTCAGAAAACCCCTTTGAGGAAGACAGAATATACATCTTCTCTCCATTTTAAAGATGAAGAAACAGGCCGGGCACAATGGCTAATGCCTGTAATCCCAGCACTTTGGGAGGCTGAGGCCAGAGGATCGCTTGAGCTCCAGAGTTTGAGACCAGCCTGGATAACATGGCAAAACCCTGTCTCTACAAAAAAAATACGAAAATTAGATGGGTGTGGTGGCATGCACCTGTGGTCCCAGCTACTTGGGAGGCTAAGGTGGGAGGATCGCTTGAGCCCAGGGAGTCAAGTCTACACTGAGCCATGATTGGATCACTGCACTCCAGCCTGGGTAGACAGAGCAAGACCCTGTCTCAAAAAAAAGAAATGAAAGAGAAAGAAAGAAAGAGGAGAGGAGAGGAGATGAGGGGAGGGGAGGGGAGGAGGGAGGGGGGGAGGAAGGAAGGAAGGAAGGAAGGAAAAAAAGATGAAAAAAGAAAAAAACAAGATGAAACAGAGGCAGAAAGACTTTACGTAAATTGCTCATCATGTGGTTGTCAAGTTTGACCCCAAAACCCAATTTATTGACCAAGGTTATTCTTTGACTGAGGCAAGGGGGTCCGCTCTCCTGGGCCTTGGGCTTTAGAAAGCTCATCTCTGGCCTTTCTGAGATCCATCCCTTTCTTTTTATTTTTCTTGACACGGAGTCTTGCTCTGTCACTCAGGCTGGAGTGCAGTGGCATGATCTCGACTCACTGTAACCTCTGCCTCCCGGGTTCAAGCGATTCTCCTGCCTCAGCCTCCTGAGATAACAGGCGCTCGCCACCACATCTGGCTAATTTTTGTATTTTTAGTAAAGACTGGGTTTCATCATGTTGGCCAGGTTGGTTTCGAACTCCTGACCTGAGGTGAGCTGCCCACCTTGGCCTCCCAAAGTGCTGGGATTACAGGCATGAGCCACTGCGCCCAGCTCAGATCCATCCCTTTCTAAGGGCAAACAGTCCATGGTGCAAAGGGGCCATGCCACCCAGAGTTATGAGTACCTGGGACTCCAGAATTCCTTGCCTGGTGGCCTCCACATGCACTTCCAGGGCCTGCTTGGGCCTCTTCTATGGGTCTGTCCTGAGTGTTGATAGAACCACTGATGTGAGTACCTGGGCTTGAGCCGTGGCCTGGAGATCCTGTTGACTGTAGCATGGAGGGGGCTTGTGCAGCTGAATGTCTGTATGCAGGTGGTGGGAGTTCTGGAATATGATGGAGCTGGAGGTGGGAAGAGAAGTAGGCTTGGGGCAGCTCTCTCATGCCACCTCATTCTGGCCAAAACTCAGGTCAAACTGTGAAGAGTCTAAATGTGAATCTGCCCTTCAAGGTGGCTACAAAGGTATCTTTGTCAAGGTAGGAGACCTTGTGGCCTCCACGTGCACTTCCAGGGCCTGCTTGGGCCTCTTCTACGGGTCTGTCCTGAGTCTTCTATGAATCTGCCCTTCAGGGCAGATTCATATTTAGACTCTTCACAGTTTGACCTGAGTTTTGGCCAGAATAAGGTGACATTTAGTTTGTTGGCTTGATGGATGACTTAAATATTTAGACATATGGTGTGTAGGCCTGCATTCCTACTCTTGCCTTTTTTTTTGCCCCTCCAGTGTTTTGGGTAGTTTTGCTCCCCTACAGCCAAAGGCAAACAGATAAGTTGGAGGTCTGGAGTGGCTACATAATTTTACACGACTGCAATTCTCTGGCTGCACTTCACAAATGTATACAAACTAAATACAAGTCCTGTGTTTTTATCACAGGGAGGCTGATCAATATAATGAAATTAAAAGGGGGCTGGTCCATATTGTTCTGTGTTTTTGTTTGTTTGTTTCTTTTTTTGTTTTTGTGGCCTCCTTCCTCTCAATTTATGAAGAGAAGCAGTAAGATGTTCCTCTCGGGTCCTCTGAGGGACCTGGGGAGCTCAGGCTGGGAATCTCCAAGGCAGTAGGTCGCCTATCAAAAATCAAAGTCCAGGTTTGTGGGGGGAAAACAAAAGCAGCCCATTACCCAGAGGACTGTCCGCCTTCCCCTCACCCCAGCCTAGGCCTTTGAAAGGAAACAAAAGACAAGACAAAATGATTGGCGTCCTGAGGGAGATTCAGCCTAGAGCTCTCTCTCCCCCAATCCCTCCCTCCGGCTGAGGAAACTAACAAAGGAAAAAAAAATTGCGGAAAGCAGGATTTAGAGGAAGCAAATTCCACTGGTGCCCTTGGCTGCCGGGAACGTGGACTAGAGAGTCTGCGGCGCAGCCCCGAGCCCAGCGCTTCCCGCGCGTCTTAGGCCGGCGGGCCCGGGCGGGGGAAGGGGACGCAGACCGCGGACCCTAAGACACCTGCTGTACCCTCCACCCCCACCCCACCCACCTCCCCCCAACTCCCTAGATGTGTCGTGGGCGGCTGAACGTCGCCCGTTTAAGGGGCGGGCCCCGGCTCCACGTGCTTTCTGCTGAGTGACTGAACTACATAAACAGAGGCCGGGAACGGGGCGGGGAGGAGGGAGAGCACAGGCTTTGACCGATAGTAACCTCTGCGCTCGGTGCAGCCGAATCTATAAAAGGAACTAGTCCCGGCAAAAACCCCGTAATTGCGAGCGAGAGTGAGTGGGGCCGGGACCCGCAGAGCCGAGCCGACCCTTCTCTCCCGGGCTGCGGCAGGGCAGGGCGGGGAGCTCCGCGCACCAACAGAGCCGGTTCTCAGGGCGCTTTGCTCCTTGTTTTTTCCCCGGTTCTGTTTTCTCCCCTTCTCCGGAAGGCTTGTCAAGGGGTAGGAGAAAGAGACGCAAACACAAAAGTGGAAAACAGGTAAGAGGCTCTCCAGTGACTTACTTGGGCGTTATTGTTTTGTTTCGAGGCCAAGGAGGCTTCGGGAAGTGCTCGGTTTCGGGGACTTTGATCCGGAGCCCCACATCCCCACCACTTGCAACTCAGATGGGACCGGAGGCGGTGTTAAATGGGGAGACGATGTCCTAGTACGAGCTCTGGTGACCCCAGGACTCTGCGCTGCTGCGCTTGGGGCTTGCCCGACGGTGGAGACCGGGGAGCATCTCTGGGCGTGGAGACCCGGGCGCAGTACCCCGGGCTCAGAGGGGTCGGGGGTTCCCGGGCGTGCTGAGGGCGCTGCTGCCGGGTGGGGAGAGCTGCAGGTCCGGCACCGAGCGCTGCTTTGTTCGGAGGGCCCTGAGCTGGCTAGAAACCCTTCTGGTTGCAGGTCGGCCAGTACCTACGGAGACAAATGCCAGCACTGAGTCTTCACTCGGTTCTTAAGAAGCTGGT
The DNA here is from genome assembly GCF_000001405.40 of Homo sapiens. NCBI lineage: Eukaryota > Metazoa > Chordata > Mammalia > Primates > Hominidae > Homo > Homo sapiens. The sequence goes on along the minus strand of NC_000009.12, from coordinate 104,927,463 downwards.
CTGTTCTGACCTGGGAATTGGCTATATGCTCCCCGGGACTGGAGCGGCACAGTCCCGGACTGTGAATCCGGGAACTCGAGTTGGAGGTGTCCCAAACGGTCCGTGGTGCTATTGCTCACTAGAGGCCTTGGGTCTTTGTTTGACCTGAGGGGTAGGGAGGTCCTGCCTACAGTCTCCGTGCGCTCAGCTGAGCTGGTGTCCCTGGCGCAGAGCGCGGACGAGTTTTGTTTCCTTTTCTTTTTCTTTTTTTTCTTTCCTTTAAGTCTCGGTCTGTCGCCCAGGCTGGAGTGCAATGGAACGATCTCCGCTCACTGCAACCTCCGCCTCCCGGGTTCAAGCGATTCTCCTGCCTCAGCCTCCTGAGTAGCTGGGATTACAGGCGCGTCACCACATCCAGCTAATTTTTGTATTTTTAGTAGAGACGGGGTTTCAACTTGTTGGCCAGGCTGGTCTCGAACCCTCGACCTCAGGTGATCCACCGGCCTCGGCCTCCCCAAGTGCTGGGATTATAGGCGTGAGCCACCGCGCGCGGCCGAGTTTTGTTTCTTTTAAAAACAAGACTTAGGAGAGCCTGCGGAGACCCGGAGGTGGGGTGCCCAATCCTCCCTCTCCCACGTTCCCTGCAGCCCCATCTTCCAGACCGTTGCTGCTGGTCTCTCGGGGCAGCTTCTGCCTGGGCGCAGATGGGGAAGCTGGGCCGAGGTGGTGCCGTGGAATGACCGGGAGTAACCCCGGCGGGCGGCGCAGAACTCGGAGCTCCGCCGCGGGGCTGGGCTGGGCTCTGCCGTGAGGGTGGGGGTGCTGGGCGCGCGGGCTGCGGTGGCCCCCGGAGACTGGCCCGCAGCGCCTCCTGGCCGGAGGACCTAGGAATCGGCCGGCTCTACTAGGTGTCTTTGCTCGCGGTTCCGACTGTGAATCCGGTGAAGACCGGTGGTTGCAGACGGGGAGGAACTATGAGGTTGAGGCGAAAGCCCGTTTTGTTTTTTTTTTTTTGTTTTTTTGGTTTTTTTTTTTGTTAGCGTGTTTGCCAACTCCCAGGCCATTGGTAAAGCAGGAAGGTTCTTGGGGCGGCGGACGGTGCCAGGGTTATGTGTAGGTGCCTCTTTAGGTATATCTTTTATCAAAAAGAAGCAAAGAAATAAGATTAAAAATAAACAAAGAAAAAAGTTGTCTGGCACTGGCAGTAATTGGCCTGCCTTTGCAGCACTGATACCATTAGCTTTTAAAATCCGACTTTTCATTGACACTTCAAGAAGAGAATGGGTAGTATATACACATTCATCTCATAGTGGACAAATTTCATATTTAAAAAAACCTTCTGGGTACTGAAATCAGCAAGTCACTTGCCCTCCATGGCCGAATCCCTGCTTCCCACGAAGAGAACCTCACAAAAATTTCCCCCAAGTTAAAGAGTGGAATTTTCTTGATTTTTTTTTCTTTTTTTTTTAACGGCCGTAGTTTAGAACCCAGACTTAAATTATGATCTTCTTTTCAAACAAAACTTAAAGTCCTTAAGTTTTCATCTCCCCTTTTATTTCAACCTATTCTTCTCATACCTACCACAAAAATAATGGAGGCTTTCTGTTGAGAAACTTTCCGTTTCTGTTGAGAGTATCATTCTCTTGAGAAACTTTCTCCTAAATCAGAGAAAGTATGGAAGCATGGAAAGTATTCCTGAGTAGAACCTCTACAGATATTACAATATTTTTCAAATACAAAGTTTCCATTGTCAGCCTGTTTCCCAAGTGCTTCCACAAACCATTAAATAATTCCACAAACCATTAAAATAATTAATGCTAGGGAATTTTAGGAAAACATTGGTTTACAATCAGAAGGACCGGGGAAGTGGGTCTTCAGCCTTCACGATGACTACAAGCCATTTAAGGGACTAGAATTGCTACTGTTGTCAGAGCAATTTAGGAGTCTGTATTTGAGCACCCGCATAGTGTTCCAGAATGACATATCTGACTGTAACCTGGACACGTGTGATATGTTGTCTCCCCTGCAGATGAGCATTTGAAATCTCAACCCTCGTATTTCTACGAGTGCAGGCCTATAATGGACCCTGGGCACATTTTTTTTTTTTTTGAGATGCAGTCTCGCTCTGTTTCCCAGGCTGGAGTGCAGTGGCACGATATGGCTCACTGCAACCTCCACCTCCTGGGTTCAAGAGATTCTCCTGCCTCAGCCTCCTGAGTAGCTGGGACTATAGGCGCACGCCACCATGCCTGGCTAGTTTTTGCATTTTCAGTAGAGACAGAGTTTCACCATGTTGGCCAGGATGGTCTCGATTTCCTGACCTCTTGATCCACCCGCCTCGGCCTCCCAAAGTGCTGGGATTACAGGCGTGAGGCACCGCGCCCGACCCCTGGACACATTTTGACTTAGAACATATTTTCGGTTTGTGTGAGACAGTGCATTAGTGCAGGATTGGAAAAGAGTGATCAGGAATTGATTGTTTTCAAGGATTGGTTCCTTCTGCTCAAGGAAGTCCCATTGTAAACATAAAAAAATGAATGAAACTGAAGAAGTTCAGTGACTTAGCTTTTTATTATCTTCTGTAGTACTTACCTTTTTGGAGAGGAGTTGGTTGGGATATTTTTCCATTTAAATTTTTTTTTTAAAGGGATCTTCTCTCCCGTAAGCCGGGATACTTAAGCTATATATGTAGTGGCTACAAATTAAGGTCTTCACTGTTTTCATTTTTAGCTGCTAGAATAAGTGAACATTACCTTAGATAGACTCTTCTAATTATGAAGATATCTAGATGTCTAGAAAATATCAAAATGCATGTGGTTTTTGCATTTCTAAAATACTTTTAAAACCAAATACTTTTTCTTTTTTTTTTTTTTCTGAGATGGAGTCTTGCTCTTTTGCCTAGGCTGGAGCGCAGTAGAATGATCTTGGCTCACTGCAACTTCCGCCTCTCAGGTTCAGGTGATTCTCCTGCCTCAACCTCCTGAGTAGCTGGGATTACAGGTGCGTGCCACCACACCCGGCTAGTTTTTGTGTTTTTAGTAGGGACAGGGTTTCACCATGTTGGCCAGGCTGGTCTCAAGCTCCTGACCTCAAGTGATCTGCCAGCCTCAGCCTCCCAAAGTGCTGGGATTACAGGCATGAGCCACCACACCTGGCCTCAAATACATTTTTTTAAGTATCCAGATATTAAATAAATAATACCATTATAGTAGTTGTTATGGTCATTTACTCTAGCATCAAATGTTAAAAGATCATTCTGAACACTTGTTTTGTTTATGCTGAGAGAAGGCCTACTCCAAAAAATGCAACCATCTTCGTATCTGCATGTGGATACAACCATGAATGGCCAAAGTTATTGCAGTGTTGAATAGACACTTATATAGCACTGTGTGGCAAGTACTGTTTGAAATGTTTTTCACGTGTTTATTCATTGTATTTATTTTGAGATAGGGTCTTGCTCTGTTGCACAGGGTGGAGTGCAGCTGCACAGACAAGGCTCACTGCAACCTCAGCCTCCTGCGCTCACGTGATCCTCATACATCAGCCTCTTAAGGAGCTGGGGCCACAGGCACGCACCACTGCTCCTGGCTAAATTTTTACAATTTTTTGTAAAGACAAGGTCTCACTATCTTGCTCAGACTGGTCTTGAACTCCTGGGCTCAAGTGATCCTCCCACATCAGCCTCCCAAAGTGCTGGGATTACAGGCATAAGCCACTGTGCAGGTCATCAAATGCTAATTGAATTTTCACAACAAAACCATTTATTGTCCCTAGTTTACAAGATTAAGTAAATGAGAAGCTAATTTTTCTCTGGCTATATACCTTGCAAGAGGCAGAGCTAAGACTTGAACCCAGCCAGAGTTCTTTAACTCCAGCACTAACATTTCAGCTGCTGCAACCAGGGAGCTTTTCAAGGATGATCACCACATTCTCTACATTCATCTGCTATAATCCTTATCAGAATCTACAGCCTGTATCATATTTTCCTTGTTGCTGTGAGTGGGTCAGCCAAATTCTCTTTAACTTGAAACCTTGGTTGCGTAGGGATTGCAACATCCTGGAAAGAATAGAATAAAATTTACTCAACTCAATTTTTTACTTGGTTCATAATGAAAACTATACTATTGCTTCAGTCAGATGTTTGCGAATAGCTGTGTGATCTCAAAATGTTTTCCTATGTGATCTATAGAAAATGGAATGATAGAGTATTAGGCTGTAAGGGCCTAAGAAACAAAGGAAAAAGAGAAGTGAACTGTTAGTTTAGTTGTAAAACCTAACTTTGGTGAATTGTAAAAATTTGTTATAATACAATATGATTCTTGCTTGTCCTGTCCTTGATGAAGTTGTGGACCTTTTGAAATAAGCTATTTCTCTGTTACTGCTGTTACTGTTTAGAAATCAAATTTAGTTTTTTCTTAAGATATACGTATTTTTGGAAGATAAACACAGTTTCAAAGTCTGCCTTGTTGGCTGGGTGCACTGGCTCATTGTTGTATTCCCAGCACTTTGGGAGGCCAAAGCAGGAGGATCACTTGAGGTCAGGAGTTCAAGACCAGCCTGGCAAATATGGTGAAACCCCGTCTCTACTAACAATACAAAAATTAGCTGGGCGTGGTGGTGGGTGCTTGTAATCCCAGCTACTGGGATTGGGAGGCTGAAGTAGAAGAATTGCTTGAACCTGGGAGGCGGAGGTTGCACTGAGTCGAGATCGTGCCACTTTACTCCAACCTGGGCGACAGAGTGAGACTCCGTCTTGAAAAAAAATGTCTGCCTTGTAAAAGTGAAATAGGATGAGAAAGTGCCTTTCTTATTAATTGGTGTAATGAATTAGAAATAAACTCTTTGAAGACACCTCTTGGTAAAAATAGTTACATTTACTGTTGATTTATGGTATGTTGGATATGTTTTTAAGTTTTCCGTGTAATAACTCAGTTCATTCTCATGAGTGAAATAGGTGCTTTTATTGTCTTTATAGATGGGAAACTGAGGTATAGGCAGGCTAGGTACATTATTATGGAGTTCGTAAGTAGTGGAGCTGAAGTCGCATCCCAGACAGTTTGGCTTCCGTGAGTTTACCAATCTCATGGTAAAGACTTTGTCAGACTATCAAAGTTTTGACAAATGAAATATTAGCAAAAGGCCAAAAGGGATTCTCTATTTTCATTTGAGTATCTTCACCTGAAAATAGTTGCCTGAATAAGTAGCCTGCATAGAAAGGTACATTTTAGAAATACTTGAGGCCAGAGAATGAAAAGCTTACATAAAATTGATTTCCGGTGGGGCCTTCAGTTACTCTCCATTCTACGAAGACCACAAATAGCATTCAGGCAAAGAGCATTTATTCCAACAATGGAGGAGCACTGGATTTGGTTCCTAAAACAAAATAAAGTTTGAAATCCTGTCTTTCCCATGTTGAAAACAAAGTTGGTACAAAACCCTTTAGCTTTTGCAAACCTCCTTTAAGACCCGATTTAAATGCTTCCCTCCTCATGAAGCTCTTCTGGATCCACTCCTTCCCATCACTAAGTTGAAAGTAAGATCCCCTTCTCTTTACTTCCATTAGACTTGGATTACAGCACTCTTTGTATCATGTATTTAATTCTGTTTTTTAATTACAGTTAACATTTATTTGTCTTCCTCTTGAGTGTATGCTTCTCTAGAGGAAGGTCTTTGATTCATTCTCCCCTGGCCTTAATTCATCCCACTTAATATGGAAAAAATTTAATAAATGCTGACTTGAATAAGTCCAACAAGGAGAATGGGAAGCTCATGTTTGCTTCCTGTCTTCTAAAAGACTACTTAAGATAACAGGGTAATCACAGAAAAGCATTAGAAATAGAGTTATATGAGAAACAACTGTAGTTAAGGCTAGGTTTATGTTAGACTGAGAAATTTTAGTGCATACTTAAGTTATTTAGGCCAGGTTACTTTTTGTAGAACAAACATTTCAGTTTCGCTCAGTTTCATTTCCGTTTCTGAGGCAGCTGTGATTTAAGAAAATGCTCTAGTCTGTGGCATTCCATATTCAAGTACTTTGAGTTGTATATTAATTTATTTTTGTTAATAAGAGTGACATGACTCACTAAGTAATTTAGAGATTTAAACACTTTTTTAAAAAACAGTAACTTCATATGCATTGGATCTATTCTTCTATAAAGTCTTTTCTTGGGGGGTGTTTGTTTAAAATTCCCCGGTGTTTTCTCTGCCAAATCCAACTTCCAAGAAGCATTTGGAAGTCAAAACATTTTATCTGGTTAGTCTTAAAGTCCAGATATTTTGTGATAGCTGGTATTTAGTTTATGATATTTCCCAGGAAGAACTTTTTAGTAGTTGAACCATTTATGAAAGACTTCCTTGAAGCTACCTTAGAGAGTTGATTTAGTTCTTCTAAATAAGTAAATAGAATATTAGTATTAGGACATCTTGGAGTATAGATGCAAATATTGGTGAAAAAGAACATGGATATCAGAGTCAAATTAATGTAGATTGGAATTCTGGTTATTACTAATGGATATCTGACATTAGGCAAGTTGCTGATCACTCTTTGCCTCAGTTTCATCATCTGTAAAATAGGTATTTGTGTTTGTGTATAATGTGAACCGTATAATATAATGCTTGGCCTATAGTGAAATTTATTCATACGAGTGTTTTCAGTGATTTTAAAAGCTTGCTTTAGGCCGGGCGCGATGGCTTCTGCCTATAATTCCAGCACTTTGGGAGGCCAAGGTGGGCGGATCATGAGGTCAGGAGTTCGAGACCAGCCTGACCAGCATGGTGAAACCCCGTCTCTACTAAAAATACAAAAATTAGCTGGGCGTGGTGGTGCAAGCCTGTAATCCCAGCTACTCAGGAGGCTTAGGCAGAAGAATCGCTTGAACCCAGGAGGCAGAGATTGCAGTGAGCCGAGATGGTGCCACTGCACAGAGCGAGACTCCATCTCAAAAAAACAAAACAAAACAAAACAAAAATCTTGCTTTATAGTTTACTTCCACATCAAATTGTCTTTATCCCATGTTACTTGCATTGATATCCCAGACATGAAAAGAAAAAAAGATGATAACAATGACAGTTATTAAATTAGGTTCCACTCTTATTCTAGATCACCAATTCATATTACTATTCAGACTTGGAACATTAAATTTTAGTTAAACTTTTTTTCAAATATGCATATAATTGTCAGTGGTTACTATATTTTGGGGAAGAGATTGTTGACTTCTTTGAAGAAAGATACGGATTTTCTCTTCAGAAAAAATACACATGGGCTCATATAATCCAAATTTTATGTGTAATTACAGGGTGTTCATGAATGCCCACAAATCCATTAAGCCATGTGACCTTGGACAAGTCATTTTACTTTTCTGTTTTTTAGGTTGTTGGTCTGTAAAATGATACTACTTGACTTTTAAAGAGCCCTTCAAGCTCTTATGTCCTCTAACCCCAGGTCTGTATTCAGAAGAAGGGGTGGTCCTTTAATTAGAGCCATCTAGAGATCTGAGGAACATGCTGGGCATTAGTGTAACATACCATGTGGATTTTGAGAGGTAAAGAAAAAATAACCAGGGAATGCCTCAGAGCATTCCTGATCAGATCGATGACAGAAGAAAGGAATGAGAGGGAGGAGAGGAAGCTGTTGAAATTTCCTATTTACCTGCTTTGAGTGAATGAAGATTTGAATCATAGAACCAGAAGGGGTTCTCATCTGAAATGCAAAGGAAGGAGGAGTTGGTTTAATTCAATAAGTTTCAGTTGAGTAAACATGATTTAGTGAGATACTGTTCTTGCTTCTGACTCACCATTTGGAAAATCTCTCTAAAATAAAATTGGACTCTCCATCTCGGACATCATTTTGGGTGTAGGTTTTGCTTTTTTTTTTGAGATGGAGTCTCGTTATGTTGCCCAGGCTGGAGTGCAGTGGCGCAATCTCGGCTCACTGCAACTTCCGCCTCCCAGATTCAAGCAGTTCTCCTGCCTCAACCTCCTGAGTAGCTGGGACTACAGGCGTATGCCACCATGTCCGGCTAATTTTTGTATTTTTTTAATAGAGACGGGGTTTTACTATGGTGGCTAGGCTGGTCTTTAACTCCTGACCTTGTGATCTGCCCACCTTGGCTTCCCAGAGTGCTGGGATTACAGATGTGAGCCACAGTGCCCGGCCTAAGTTTTACTTCTTATAATGGACTCCTGTTAAGCCAATAGGTGATGAAAGGAAACCATAACCAACTCTTCAGGCTCATTCATCCTTCAAGAATAGCATGCTAGTACCCATCCTAGGAGGAGAATTGGACTATACCTCATGAGGATAGTTTGAAGTATCTCAGAAGACCCTCACTGGGGGTAGGTCGGTAAGACACAAAGCTTTCTAAAGCACTGTACCAAATTTGTTGTTTGAGAGATCATAACAAATTAGAAGTGGAAAGAAGAAGGAGTAAAAGGAAGAAGAGGTTTCTGGCCAGGAGCAGGGAGGGGGAAGGAGCTGCTAGGAAGATGTTTGGTTGTCATATCCCTGTTCACCCTTGCTTTGCAAAATTCTTGTAGGATGCCAGGTTGGGAGTAATTGTTTTTCACAAGAGTCAAACCACGCTTGTTTTCTTGAAGAAGCAAGTCTTTGGAGGGTGGTGGCTTGAAATCTGTTGGATCTGGTATTTAGGTGATACACTTTGACATAAAGGCAACACTGATGCAAGCAGCAGCTTTCCTTGGAAAGGCAGGGAGAAAGTGAAGGCCCAGACTGATGAGCTTACACTGACCTGCAGACCCTTCTCCATTCCCAGGCATGTTTGGTGGCAGAGTTTACCTTAGTTGGGGTTAGGCTGTTGTCTGGTACTGTGAGAGAGAAGGAAGAAGAAGATATGATATTAACAACAACAATACATATTTATATTTGAAAATTAAATGCACTAATACACCTATAGTGCTATTAAACAAATTTATTTGTTCAGCAAATGTTTGTTAAACACCATGTACTGTGGAAAGTACTAGGTGCTGGACAGAGGTCAAAAGACTTTTAAGAATCTGCCACCATTAATGATCTCTTTCTGCTTGGCATTCAAGGCTCTTTGAAATAAGACTGTGACCCACTTTGATAGTTTTGTCCTGGATTATAAGACACATGCTCGAAGGAACTATAGCTGGTTTTCTCACCAGACTGATTAACATATAGTATGGTTTGGTACCTGTTAAATGAGTCTCTCTCTACAGGTTTTCATCTTCTACTTTAAGAACCCCTTCCTGGCATTGTTTGGCTCCTCATTGTTCTGGAATCTCATGTCCATCTCATGTATTTGCCTTGGTTCACACTTGATCTTCTGCTCATATTCCTCACCTACTGAAATTTTACCCATCAACCAGACCGTGGGTGATGGAACACAGCATGGGCTAGTTCTTCTTATATATGATCTCATTTAATTTTCACTGGAACTCTGAGATAGGTAGCATTTCAGCCCACTCAAGTTGACTCAAATTTTTGTAATCATCAATATATTTTAAAATAACTTTATATTTGACCTGTAATTGGAAAACCAATATGAGTTATCATAAATGAAAGGTAATTTTAAAAATAATTAGGATGAAGACAAATTATTTTTCTCACAGTCTATGTATAAGATAAACTATTGGTTCCCAAAGGCCCCAGCTGACAATGAGACTTCTCTTACTTTGTTGAAAAGGGAATTAGCAAGCATTAAAGAGGTGTCAAAAAGAAGACTAAACAAAAGCTTACTCCTTTTTTTTTTTGAGACGAGTCTTGCTCTGTTGCCCAGGCTGGAGTGCAGTGGCACCACCTCGGCTCACTGCAACCTCTTCCTCCTGGGTTCAAGCGATTCTCCTGCCTCAGCCTCCCTAGTAGCTGGGATTACAGGTGCATGCCACCACACCCGGCTAATTTTTGTATTTTTAGCAGAGATGGGGTTCGTCATGTTGGCCAGGCTGGTCTCCAACTCCTGACCTCAGGTGATCCACCCACCTCGGCCTCCCAAAGTGCTAGAATCACAGGTGTGAGCCGCCGCACCCGGCCGCTTACTCCTTAATGTACTAAGAATGTTATATATAGGCTGAAGAAGTGCTGAAAAGAACCATATTTTCTCATGATGTGGTTCAATGTTTAATACTGTGCTTGTTCATCTCCTAAAATCCTCTGAATATCACTTAAATTCATCCTGTGTAACTCTCCCACATTTGGGGAAATACTGAGCTTGCCTATTATTATATTAGCCCCATATTTCAGATGATGCACCTGAGCCGAGGAGAAGTTAAATAACTTGTTCATGGTTCCATATTTGGCTAATGGCAGAGCCAGGGATTCAAACTCTTGTCTCTCTGACTCCCAGGTTTGTGCTTTTCCCACTTGGCTGAATTTCTCATGCTACCTCCTCCATAACACCTTTCCTAGAACTTTTAAGGAATGCTTCCCCTGTTCTCTCATAGCATTTTAATGTAAGTTGCCAAAGTGTCCCAGTTTGCACCCCTACCAGCAATGTGGGAGAAAATAGCAACATATTTTTGATGTTGGGGTCTAGTGTTACGGTTTCTTCTGCTCTTTGGGATGTATATTCCATGGCTACTGAATACCCAAGTCCCAAACAGTTTTCTTAGACTCAGAAGGTCATCCACTTCAGCTTCTTCATCAAAAAGACATATTTTCTGGCTGGGCACGGTGGCTCACACCTGTAATCACAGCACTTTGGGAGGTGGAGGCAGGAGAATTGCTTGAACCCAGGAGGCTGAAGTTGCAGTGAGCCCAGATCGTGCCACTGCCCTCCAGCCTGGGTGACAGAGCGAAACTCTGTGTCAAGAAACAAAAAAAAGGACTTGTTTTCTGTTCCATTACCCACAGTGGTAGAATGGCGTGCTAAATTTATTCTCCAGCTGCCATTAACTGCAAATTAAAATCTTAGTCTCTTGCCTCTTTAATCCAGGCTTCTTCATACTATACCAGAATTTAGGATAACTATTACAGTGCCCTTTATAGGAGAGAAAGAAGAAATTGTGTCTGTAGATGTCTGTTCCTTTCAGCTTAAAATGGACACTGAAATGTTAAATATTGGACTGGCCTCATTTATTTCTCCTGTCTGTTGGTCCAATTTGAATCTTAAGGCGTCTTTCAACTGGAATTTTTTGTTTCTCTCAACTAAAAATTGTTCTTTGTAAGTTTGAATCAGAACAAAATCCTGAATGTTGAGGGTTTCCTAAAGGCTGTTTCTTTATGCAAAAGCCTGAAACCCGATGTTGATGTTGGCTGCTTAAAATTAACTGTGAATCAAGGCAGGGTTTTTATTTTTATTTTTTTTTTACTTTAATGATTGTGTTAATTATAGTGAAAACCTTGAGTTCACGAGAAAGAAAGCCTTTGGTCAAGTATTGTTTATTAAGTTGTCAGTCTTGTTGCAGGATTTGCAAATTTAGTGGAATTAGTGCCATTTTTCAGTTTACAATTCCAGTCACATTTCACATGATCAGAGCATGGCTTTCTTCTCTGTGGAGCAAATAGAGGGCTGTCTGACACTTGGTTCCAGTGGCTTCCATTAAGCAGAGTGGATATGTCCCTGGAGTCTGCAGAGAAGGGCATGGCACTCTGACCCCAGATGGCACTCCGTTTTGGGACATTGTCCAATTCTAGTTCATAGCATATGTGACCAACACCAGCTCTCACCTGATGTAAACACTTAGCGCGTTGTTGCTTGGGGGATTGGATTGTGTGAATTTTTCAAAACTACAGTTGACAGAAGGAGGCTACCAAAAATGAAACCCAATAATTCCATTTTTGGGAATTATTCCCACTTTTGTTCCATTTTTCCCACTTTGTTCTTTGGCACACAGAATGTTTGATTTGTGAAAATCTTAATAACAGTAGTTTTTTCTATAAGGAACACTCAGAATCTTGATAATATTGGAATAATACAGATCCTTTTGTAGGATCCTCTCAGACCTCATATAATAGAGTTCATGTAGTCAATATTTAAAGAAAAACACCCTTAAGTTTTTGTTTTTCAGAATCACAAGTAAGTGGATTTAAACTTGTGATCTTATTCCCCTTTCTTCTCTTAATTTAGTGAGGCAGCCAGCGAGAGGGTTTGTTTTGGTTATTCTAAAGAAGGAGTTTGCTTGTAAGTTTTGGAGGGCAAGACTTAGACTCTGTGTCTCTGTGCTTGCCCTGGAACTTTGATTAAATTGTCACTAACCGAGTTAGCTGGCCCTCGCCGGGCTGCAGAAATAGAAGTGTCTTGCACACATGACATATGACTGTCTCAAGAGCTGGCTGGTGAAAGGACGTTCTGGAGAAGGCTGCCGATACTGTATGAACTAGAACTGGACAAGAGCCTGGAGATTGGATAACTCAGTTTGGCGCAAGTAAAGGGAATAAAAGTGTTAAGGTGGCAAAATTGTATCCAGGTGTTTATAGGCTCCCTGAGTTCCTGACTTGAGCCTATCTATGGGTTTAGAGTTCAAGGCTCTTTACCAGTGCTGACAATCTTATACTCTAGGTTGAACCTCCGGGGAAGGTGCCCTTGCTTGATGGCATGTTTACCAGGGGTTCTAGAGCCTCAATCACAGATTCTCTCTAGCTCACATGAAGTTAATGAAAATGAATGTGCTTCCCTACAAATTAGAGAGGCTTTGAGGAAAAATCAGATTAAATGCACTCCTGCTTGAACTTATGTTTCTTAGAACACAGCTGGAAATTTTGTCACACAAACCTTTACTTTCAGTGACATTTCTTGACTGGTTTGTTACTGTAGTGAATCTGCTTTAACTATCTTTTCTTATCGCTGAGGTTTTACTTCCATTCTACATGTGATTGTGGAGCGCTGCGTCATTGTGGGTTCAGTGTAGTGGAGAGTAGGAAGATGGTGAGACACAGTAGCTTGTTGCACATTGCTTAATTTATCAGGGATCACTGATGAGTTAGTACACTAGAGAAGATTGTAGGTAGAGCTGAAAAGATGGAGGAATTATAAGGCTCAGATTTCTCTCTTTTTTTTTTTTTTTAAGATGGAGTTTCACTCTTGTTGTCCAGGCTGGAATTCAATGGCATGATCTCGGCTCACTGCAACCTCTGCCTCCCGGGTTCAAGTGAGACTTGATGGTCTCACTTGATGGTTTCCTGGCTCAGCCTCCTGAGTAGCTGAGATTACAGGCACCCACTACCATGCCCAGCTACTTTTTTGTATTTTTAGTGGAGATGGGGTTTTATCATGTTGACCAGGCTGGTCTCGAACTTCTGACCTCAGGTGATCACCTGCCTCAGCCTCCCAAAGTGCAGGGATTACAGGCATGAGCCACTGCGTCTGGCCAAGGCTCAGATTTCTAATAGAGATTTCTAATGGACATAGAGGCTGGAGGAAATGGGATGGACAGGAAAACTGAGTCAGGTGCCAAAAACTTGTAGGGGGCCGGGTGCGGTGGCTCACGCCTGTAATCCCAGCACTTTGGGAGGCTGAGGCGGGTGGATCACGAGGTCAGGAGATCGAGACCATCCTGGCTAACACGGCGAAACCCCGTCTCTACTAAAAATACAAAAAATTAGCCGGGCGTGTTGGCAGGCGGCTGTCGGTAGTCCCAGCTACTCGGGAGGCTGAGGCAGGAGAATGGCGTGAAGCCGGGAGGCGGAGCTTGCAGTGAGCCGAGATCGCGCCACTGCACTCCAGCCTGGGCGACAGAGCCAGACTCCATCTAAATAAATAAATAGATAAATAAATAAAATAAAATAAAAACTTGTAGGGAGGTGGCAGTGTGCTATGGAGGATAGGTGCAACCTCTGTGAGAATGTAGAGAAAATAGTATAAGTGAGTGGTGAGGACCCCCAAGAGGGGGTTTTATAGTAAAACAATGGTCAGAAGTGGCAACAGGATACCGTATAATGCTTTCACCTCTACCAATGCACTGGGTACTGGAGAGCGCTCCAGTTTGCTCTGGAAAGGCCCTTTCTGTGGACAAAGAATACAGAAAAGAGATTCCTTTAATAAACCACCCACTCTGTGTCCCACCCTTGATGAATACTTCACTGTGAAATTGCCAGAATTAATCATGGTAATAGCTACTGTACACTTACTTTGTTCCAGGAACTGGATAAATGTTTTACATACATTATCAGTTCTATTTTTTGGAGAAGATACAGGGGCTCAGAGTCCCTAGGGTTCCAGAGCTGGTGAGTAGCAGAGTCAGGATTCAAACCCAGCTTTCTCTGACTCTAAAACCTCCTTTCTTCCTGCTGAAACAATTAACTCAAGACAACAAAGGAGTTAAGGATTTGGGGAGTTTTCTGCATGGTAGAATAGACCCAAAGGAAAAGAAAGAAAGACAGTGACTAAGATTTGGGTTTGTCTGCCCCACCAAATGCTTTGAGCACTTTCATAAATATAAATCCTTCAGGTTGGGAGAAGGTTGAACATCTGAAGACACTGATTCTTCAGAGATGTAATCCAAACAAAGTGATCTTTGGTGATATGGTCACTAAACCATTTATCCCAAAATTCTCTTGGAAAACCGTCCTATAACAGCAGGGAACATTATCCAGCCAAGTTTTTCTGCAAATAAAGGGTTGCTGATAGAGGCTTGCCTGCTTGTGTTTCTGTAGCTCAGGGTGTTTATGAATTCACTAATCCCTTCCCTTCAGATCCCTTTTATTCTGGTGTTATGATTGTGACTGAAAAAAATTGATTTTTTTTCTATGACATAGAATGTTGAAAGGTTGATTTCTTTTCTAGAGGAAAGATTCTTTTTTTCTATGTGCTACATACCCCCCGACCAGGGAAAAGGCAAATAGTGGTATTGTTTGCTGAAGTCTTCCTTTGAAGGTTGCTTGGTGTTTGCTTAGTGGAAATCAGCAGGGGAAGAGAGGCTATCTCTAACATTTTGTTAGAGTTTCTTCGTAGTTCTATAGTGATGAAACAAGGACTTGGGGTACAGGACAGATCTGCTTTCAGAAATCCTGGCTCTTGTGAGGTTTAGAAGCCCTGAGACCATTTAGCTGGTGGCAACGGGAATGTTGAGGGTGATAAATAGGATCTTTGGTTGTCCAAGTATCAGTGACATGATATAGATGGAGTTAAACCTTTAGGATCTCCTTATTTATTTGTTTGTTTATTTTTGAGACAGGGTCTTGCACTGTAGCCCAGGTTGGAGTATGGTGGCATGATCATAACTCACTGCAGCCTCAAACTCCTGGGCTCAAGCGATCCTGCTGCCTCAGCCTCCCAAGGTGTTAGGATTACAGGCATGAGCCGCCACACCCGGTCAGGATCTCCTGTAAAATTATATTGTTGACAACATGAAGAATTATGCTTCTCAAAAGCTAGTTATAGATTTGTACAATATTCATAGATTTCTTGTTTCAGTTTTTACAAATTCATAGCCCTTATTTTGAAAATTAGCTATTAGCAATAATTTTGTCTAGGAAATTGGATGTGTATTCAAGTGAAAGAAGGAAGTACAGTTACCTATTATCTTATTGTAACTAACAATCAAGTAAGTGTGATGCATTTGGTACTTTAAAAACTGCACCCAAGTTACAGATTATTGGAATTAATAAAATTCACTGGATCTATATATTTTTAAACGGACAGTGTGATAGCAGAACCTCTTATAGAATGATAGAATTCCTCTGGAATGATTGGATAACTTCATTTCATCCTTGACTTTTACCTTGGAGGATTTCTTACCCCTTTTGGCTTCTCAAATTTGACTATTAAAATGTTGCCTTTAAAAATAGGAACACAGTTTCAGGGGGGAGTACCAGCCCATGACCCTTCTGCAAGGCCCCCTAACTCAAGGTAGTTTCCCTGGAACTGTGGTTTATGGAATGTTTCAGGAGTGTGAGGAGGTATAATTTAAGGCTGTCCTAGCAAGGATACCCTTAAGGATAGAGGGCCCAGTAGCATCTGGAGGCCAGAAAAGTTAAACTGAGGCAGTCAGATTAGCTTCAGGCTCAATTAAGCTGATGGGTCAGCCTGGGAGAAATTGCAGGATGACTCTCAATATCCCCTCCCACCCCCACAGCAGCCACGATCTGTCTGTCTTTAATCATGGGTGCAGTGAACCTGTTCTTTCCAGGTGTCTTGGCCTTCAGTAACCTTGTTAGGCTTGTCCCTGAACGTGGCTACCGATCCAAAGACACATGATCAGAGAGGCAATTAGAGAACAGACCTTTTCCAAAGCAAGCATGTTCTGTTGGGCTTAGAAGTTTCATGTCCTAATATTATAGGACCCTGTGCATCTCTCTGGAGATGAGGCACATGAGTCATATCTGTGATTCTTGCTTTTGTGTCAACATCTCATGAATAGGCAATCAGAGCTTTGGCACCAATGTATTTTCAGTTCATATCTGATGTAGTTAAATCCACCTCCTGCTTTGTAGTTTACTGGCAAGCTGTTTTTGATATAAGACATCTAGAACACTGTAAATATATAACATTTTTATTTGTCTATTATACCTCAATTACGAAAAAGACATCTAGAAGCAACCTCATCAAGAGAGATACTGAGGCCGGGCATGGTAGCTCACACTTGCAATCCCATTACTTTGGGAGGCTGAGGCAGGTAGATCACTTGAGGTCAAGAGTTTGAAACCAGCCTGGCCAACATGTTGAAACCCTGTCTCTATTAAAAATACAAAAAAGTTAGCTGGGCTTGGTGGTGGGCACCTGTAATCCCAGCTACTCCGGAGGCTGAGGCAGGAGAATCACTTGAACCTGGGAGGCAGAGGTTGCAGTGAGCTGAGATCACACCACTGCACTCCAACCTGGGCACCAGAGTGAGATTACATCTAAAAAATAAAATAAAGTAATAAAAAAGAGAGATATTGATAGCTGTTGTTGGAAATTTCAACTTCCATCTCACTTCTGGTAACTTTTTGGAAGTTTGTTGAACAAAGTGGAATACACGCACATACACACACACACATACTCTCTTGTTTGTTTAAGGTTTAATGAAATAGCTGTCATATAATCACTGTTTTTGAAAGAGGAGAATTAGTTGCTATCTGTACATTTTGGGTATGTGAACTATTTGGATAGAACTCTGAGAAATGCATTCAGAACAACAAACAAAATCATAGGAGAAATAGCTAAGTGGGAAGGGGCATATAAGAGTTGTTGAAAAAGTTATTTCTTGAGAAACCAGCTCTAATGCTAGGCAAGTCACTTGCTTTGGGGGAGGCCTCAGCTTCTCTGTCTATAAGATTGCAGCAGGGGTGTAGTGGGAATGAGTCTTCAACATTCCAAGAGATTTTATCTACTAATACGACAGTCAAATGGAGCATGACTTTGTGGAAGCCTCTCCTCTTCCACCCAGAGGGGCCAATTTCTCTGTCCCAGTGAGATGTTGACACTTGTATGATCCCTGCTTGGAGACTTCCCTCTTCTGGAACCTGCCCTGGCTCAGGCATGAGGGCTGACTGTCACCCTTCGATAGGAGCCCAGCACTAAAGCTCATGTGTTGGCAGTGTTCTTGCGGGAAGGAAAAAGACCAGCCAGCCCATTTGTTACTGCACAAGCAAACAGCTTCTGGTAGCTGTACAGATACATGCACTTTCTTTCCTCACTGTGTTTCCATAGACAGATTTAGTGCTGTAGAAGAGTAGAGGGCAGTCACGGGAAGGAGTTCCTGTTTTTCTTTTGGCTATGCCAAATGGGGAAAAATCCTCCTATCTTGTCTTTTTAGTGTCATCCTCTCTCCCCTTTTCTTCTTCTTTATAATTCTCATCTCTCATCTCTCCTGGAAATGTGCATGTCAAGTTCAAAAGGGCACAATGTTTTGGTGAGGAAGAGGTGGGAGAACACGTGCCAGGTGCTAACTAGGGTCATCATTTCCCCCTTCACAGCCAGCTTCCTGTGAATGTGTGTGTGTGTGTGTGTGTGTGTGTGTGTGTGTGTGTGTGTGTGTATTTCTTTTGCCAGCATCACTGAATCTGTCTGCTGTCTGGTATTCCAGGTTTTGGTTTAGGGAAAAGTAAAAGTAATTTTATAATCCCAGCTGTCATTTAAGCCACCCCTTTGTGGGTAGCATATGGTCCACTCTCTCAGTTCATTGTCCTAAAGATGCTTCATCAGAAAGGAATAACTTCCACCCCGTTACTCTCTGTCCCCTTACTCTGCTTTATTTTTCTTCGTCAATCCTACCACCACCACCCACTGTTTGAACAACCCACTATTATTTGTCTGTTTCCCATCCCTGGTAGAATAGGAGCCCCATGAATGAAGGAACTTTGCTTCTGTTGTTCACCACTGAATCTCTAAGGTATGGAACACACCTGGCATGTGATAGGCACTCGATAAATATTTGTTGTGGCTCATGGGCACCTTGCAGAGTTAAGGCTGCAGTTGTTTGTGGAATTTATAAGTGGTAATGAATATTTATCTACTATTCCTCTTCCAAGGCGATCACACAATAATCAGGCTTTACACTATCCAGTTCTTAGGTCTTCCAAGTTATGACTTGTGAGGTATGTTAATTATGATAATAGAAGGCAGTTTATTTGGTTCAGATTTATTGATGTGTAATTTACCACAGTAAGACTTCCCCTTTACAAAAGTATGATGAGTTTTGACAAATGGATACACATGTGTATCTACCACTGCCATGCTCCTTTTCAGTCTGTCGTCCCCTCCACCCATGACCACTGGTCACCACTGCAGTGATTTCTGTCCCCTTCATTTCACCTTTTCCAGAATGTCATATAAATGGAATCATGCAGTATGTAGTTTTTTGTGTCTGGCTTATTTTTCTTAGCATTAGGCTTTTGGGATTCATCCAGGTTGTCGCATGTAACAGTAGCTTATTCCTTTTTATGGCTGAGTAAGTGTCCCAGTTTTATTTATATATTTATTTATGAGGAGGTGTCTCACTCTGTCACCCAGGCTGGAGTGCGGTAGCGCGATCTCAGCTCACTGCAACCTCCGCCTCCCAGGTTCAAGCAATTCTCCTGCCTCCTGAGTAGCTGGGATTACAGGCACCCACCGCCACGCCCAACTAATTTTTATATTTTTAGTAGAGATGGGGTTTCACCATGTTGGCCAGGCTGATCTCAAACTCTTGACCTCAGGTGATCCGCCCACCTCTGGCTCCCAAAGTGCTAGGATTACAGGCATGAGCCACTGTGCCCAGCCCCAGTTTTATTTATTCACCAGTTGATGGTCTTTTCGACAACTAATTGTTTCCAGTTTTTGGCTATTCTGTATAAGGCTTCTATAAATATTCACAAATACCTAGGATGGGATGACTGGGTCATATAATAGTACTGTATAACCTTAGCAGAAACTGTCAAACTATTTTCCAAAGTGGCTCTTCCATTTTACAATTCCACAGTGTATTGAGTCCCAGTGTCTCCATACACATGCTAGCACTTTTAATATTTAATTTAGTGGGTATGTAATGATATCTCATTGTGGTTTTAATTTGCATTTCTCTGCAGCTAATGATGAGTGTTTCTGCTTATTTGGGAAGGTTTTAATTTAGCAGTCTGTTGTATTCTGTAGATATTAATAACTTCAAAATATCAGTGGCATTTGCAGTTAAAATTTCCTTAAAAAATTGGCCAAAGGTTTCCAGCAGTCACTTCTGCCATGCCCAAACTGTATGAAACAAGGCTGAGGTGTGGAGATTGTCACATTTTGGCAAGGAGTGATCCACTTGGGTGACTGATGAGACCCAGAGAGCGTACGCCTCGGGCTTGAGGGTGAGGACGGGCGGGAAGTCGACTGCATGGCCCTGCTGGCCTTGGGAGGCTGCCCAGTCCTTAGCTAAAGCTGGCAGTTATGGGAAACAGACTTAGATTCTATTACGTTTTTCAGGATGTCCCAGGAGTCACCTGGGAAGCTCAGCAGTCCTTTGTGACTTTCAAGCATATGGTAGAAGCTGCTGAACACAGAGCTCCCTCTTTGGGGATAATTTGCCCAAATCATTTAATCAGGCTTGAGAAATGAGTTACCACAGGTCCAGGAGTGCTGCCACCCTTGAATTCTGACACCCTATTTCTCCTATCCGTCTCTTAATTAATTAAGCAGACATCCCCAAGTGCTTACGACAAGCCAGGACCCTTTTGCATACTAAGGAAAACAGGGATGAAGGAAACAGAAATGGTCTCTGCTCTGACTCAGAAGGTAGAAATCCTCTTTCCCAGCCAAGTCTTCCTAGGGAGCACGTAGGAAGGGCTCTGAACCCACGTGTCAGTTGCAGGGGAGGATATCAGGAAAGGACATTGAAGAAGTGGAGACCTAAGTTTGAGACCTAGGCATTAGCCAGGCTAGCAGTGCTTGAAAAAGTGTCTTAGGACAAGAGAACTCACCAGTGAAGTCCCAGTGGTAGGAGAGCGTGCAGCATATTCTGAGCCTGTATACACATCTCCAGGGCATTGCTTAGCAGGTGGGGAGTGGCAAGAGAGTAGGCTGGAGTCACAGAAGGGAGGCCAGGTAGACCTTGGTGAGCACTGGACTCTATGTTCAGGTGCTGAGGAGCTGGCAAAAGGTTTTAAGTCGGGGAGAGGCATGTTCAGATATTTGGTCTAGCTGAGTAACTTTGGGTGCTCTGTGACAAATGGTTGGGAGACCAGTGAGGTGGCAGTTGCGGTCATCTAGGAGCAGGATCAGAGTGGCCTATTGACTGGGATGACTGTGAAGTGGGATCCTTTCCAGCCAGTAACTGGAAATGTGTATGAGGGCAGAAGTGAGTGTACTGCATTTGAAACATTGAGAAATCTAGTACATAGTACTGTCTCTTTTATATCTTTTTTTTTTTTTTTTTTGATTTTGGTTTGTTTGTTCACTAACTTGGAAAACTGATGTGGAAATGTCCCTTTGGCTTCAGTTACCTGAGCAGAAGGGGCCGGGCATTGCCAAACTCTCCTCTTAGGACAGAATTGCTCCCAGTATTGATCATTGTGTTCTGAGTTGGGGGAGCAAATTGTGCAGGAGGCCAGGTCAGTGCCAAGGTGGGTGGGAGGAATTGGAGCAGGAAGCTTGCCTAAGTGTGCCCAGCAAAGCCACGGTAGAACTTTCTACTGTGGCTCTATGCTACTTCTTAGCAACCTTCTCCATGTGCTTCCTGGAGAGTCCTTGGAGTCAGAACCTTTTTCTTGAAACCCAGACACTTTACTTCCAAGAAAATGCTGTCCAAGAAAACTCATCCTTCCCTTCTTCTCATGAACGTTGTGTAGAGGTGTGTCTTCTCTTCCTTTGAGCTTTTCCACTCAGGGTTTAGGGGAGGTGATATTCTATATTTGGGTTTGGCTCTGGGTACTGCAACACTAGGCTATTAAGATTTCATCCTTACTGCTTTGCCCCTCCTATCTTTCCAGAAACCCACAATGGATTTGCTAGAAATAATGGAACGTCCTGTTTGGACAGGATATAACCATTTCTCAGCTAGAGGATATTGTTGGAATGAAGAAAGATAAATGGGGAGAAGGGAACTCACATTGCTTTGGCACTTAAATTAAGCCATGTACTGTGTTGGGAAATTATTTATATTATCTCGTTGAATCCACAGTAGAACACAGTTGAACACCATACAAGGTAAGTATTGTCATCCTTATTTTACCATGAGGAAATTGATGCTTAGAGAGCATAAAGCCTTGGCCAGGGGCACATAGTTGGGAAGCCGGGGCTAATTCATGCCTGGGCTCTTTCTGATAGTTTTCCTTTTTTAATTGTCCCCTCCTCATTGTTACCTTGGGGATTTCAAGAGATTCATGTAGCTTCTAAATCAACGAACTGATTCCTGGAGAGCAGCTTCTGTATGAGAAAAATCTAGCTAATTATTTATTTCAGTGTCTCTGGAATGCAAGCTCTGTCCTGAGCCACTTAGAAAACAATTTGGGATGACAAGCATGTGTCTCACAATGCTGCTCTGGTTGCCAGTGCTGTGCTGCCAGTTGTCATCTTTGAACAAACTGATGCAGTGCTGGTTTAACTCTTCCTCTTTTTGGAGTAAGAAACTTTGGAGGCCTGTGTCCTTCTAGAAGTTTGCTGAGCAAATGGTAAGGAAAAGAAATAGGTCCTAAGGCTTGACTATTTCAGAGAATTTCTTGATTTATTGGACTGTCAATGAATGAATTGGAATACATAGTGGTAGGCTGTCTTTTCTTCTCAGACACTGCAATTTCCTCCAATCTCTTGACTTTTCTAGAAGTTTTAATCCAAGTCCTTGTTGGGTGGTAGATAAAAGGGTATTGTTCTACTAGAGACTGACCTTGGCATGGAGATCTCATTTGGACTCACAGATTTCTAGTCTAGCGCTTGGTTTTGTATCCATACCTCGCTACTGCATTCTTAGTTCCTTCTGCTCCTTGTTCCTCATGCCCAGTGTCCCACCCTACCCTTGCCCCTACTCCTCTAGAGGCCACAGTGATTCACTGAGCCATTTCATAAGCACAGCTAGGAGAGTTCATGGCTACCAAGTGCCAGCAGGGCCGAATTTTCACCTGTGTGTCCTCCCTTCCATTTTTCATCTTCTGCCCCCTCCCCAGCTTTAACTTTAATATAACTACTTGGGACTATTCCAGCATTAAATAAGGGTAACTGCTGGATGGGTGGCTGGGATACACAGAATGTAGTATCCCTTGTTCACGAGAAGACCTTCTTGCCCTAGCATGGCAAACAGTCCTCCAAGGAGGCACCTGTGACACCCAACGGAGTAGGGGGGCGGTGTGTTCAGGTGCAGGTGGAACAAGGCCAGAAGTGTGCATATGTGCTGACCATGGGAGCTTGTTTGTCGGTTTCACAGTTGATGCCCTGAGCCTGCCATAGCAGACTTGTTTCTCCATGGGATGCTGTTTTCTTTCCAGAGACACAGCGCTAGGGTTGTCCTCATTACCTGAGAGCCAGGTGTCGGTAGCATTTTCTTGGTGTTTACTCACACTCATCTAAGGCACGTTGTGGTTTTCCAGATTAGGAAACTGCTTTATTGATGGTGCTTTTTTTTTTTTTTTTTGAGACAGAGTCTCGCTCTGTCGCCATGCTGGAGTGTAGTGGCACAATCTTGGCTCACTGCACCTCCGCCTGCCAGGTTCAGCGATTCTCCTGCCTCAGCCTCCCAAGTAGCTGGGACTACAGGTGCCTGCCACCATGCCCAGCTAATTTTTGTATTTTTAGTAGAGACGGGGTTTCACCGTATTGGCTAGGATGGTCTCGATTTCTTGACCTCGTGATCCGCCTGCCTCGGCCTCCCAAAGTGCTGGGATTATAGGCTTGAGCCACCACGCCTGGCCGATGGTGCTTTTTATCATTTGAAGGACTCAGTTGTATAACCCACTGAAAATTAGTATGTAAGGAAGTTCAGGGAATAGTATAAGTCACTCCAGGCTTGAGGCAAAATTTACAAATGCTGCTGACTTTGTATGTAAGGGGAGGCATTTTCTTAGAAAAGAGAGGTAGGTCTCTGGGATTCCAGTATGCCATTTCCATCCTCAGTGTTTTTGGCCACCTGAGAGAGGTCTATTTTCAGAAATGCATTCTTCATTCCCAGATGATAACATCTATAGAACTAAAATGATTAGGACCATAACACGTAGCTCCTAGCCTGCTGTCGGAACACCTCCCGAGTCCCTCTTTGTGGGTGAACCCAGAGGCTGGGAGCTGGTGACTCATGATCCATTGAGAAGCAGTCATGATGCAGAGCTGTGTGTTGGAGGTCTCAGCTGAGAGGGCTGGATTAGCAGTCCTCATTGGTGTATGGCTTTGCAGCAATAACTGATGGCTGTTTCCCCTCCTGCTTTATCTTTCAGTTAATGACCAGCCACGGCGTCCCTGCTGTGAGCTCTGGCCGCTGC
Organism: Homo sapiens; assembly: GCF_000001405.40. Lineage (NCBI taxonomy): Eukaryota > Metazoa > Chordata > Mammalia > Primates > Hominidae > Homo > Homo sapiens. The sequence continues at coordinate 104,903,726 of NC_000009.12, read as the reverse complement.
CTTCCAGGGCTCCCGAGCCACACGCTGGGGGTGCTGGCTGAGGGAACATGGCTTGTTGGCCTCAGCTGAGGTTGCTGCTGTGGAAGAACCTCACTTTCAGAAGAAGACAAACAGTAAGCTTGGGTTTTTCAGCAGCGGGGGGTTCTCTCATTTTTTCTTTGTGGTTTTGAGTTGGGGATTGGAGGAGGGAGGGAGGGAAGGAAGCTGTGTTGGTTTTCACACAGGGATTGATGGAATCTGGCTCTTATGGACACAGGACTGTGTGGTCCGGATATGGCATGTGGCTTATCATAGAGGGCAGATTTGCAGCCAGGTAGAAATAGTAGCTTTGGTTTGTGCTACTGCCCAGGCATGAGTTCTGATCCCTAGGACCTGGCTCCGAATCGCCCCTGAGCACCCCACTTTTTCCTTTTGCTGCAGCCCTGGGAGCCACCTGGCTCTCCAAAAGCCCCTAATGGGCCCCTGTATTTCTGGAAGCTGTGGGTGAAGTGAGTTAGTGGCCCCACTCTTAGAGATCAATACTGGGTATCTTGGTGTCAATCTGGATTCTTTCCTTCAGGCCTGGAGGAATATAATAACTGAGACTTGTTTTATTTCTGCAGAGGGTTCTAAGCCATTCACTTCCCAGATGGGCCAATAATGCTTTGAGTAATCTGGAGATCATCTTTAATGCGCAGGTGAATGGAACTCTTCCACAGAGGGATGTGAGGGCTGTAGAGCAGAGTGAACTCCCTGAAACTCAGACGTCAGCTCTTTGTCTCTCTATCTCTGAACACCCTTCCTTAGAGATCCCATCTCTAGGATGCATTTCTCTGTAGTTAGTTTCTAAGTCTCTTGTTCCTGTTCTGCCTTTATTTTTTTTTCCTGGATTCTAAGCCAGTATCCCCACTTGGCTGTCTTAATGTAGCTTAACATGTCTGTAATCAAAATGATCATCTTTCTGAGATTCAAAGGGCTATAAGGGACTTTGGAGAGAATTTCATTCAGTTTTCCTCAAACTAGAATAATGCTTGCACTGTCTGTAAAAGAACAAAAGTGTCAAAGCATCCTTTTGTTCACTAAATTTCCTTTTTTATTATAGTGTTACTTAAATATTAGGAAGTAAAAGTAGGTATAAACTTCTTATAGGCTGTTATTATACAACTATATGACCCATACATATTTACAAATTAAGTGCAGCCAAAATTGCAAAATCAATACCATTCAAATTAATACCTTAAATGTGGTGAGGCAGCTGTTGTTCAACTGAAACCAAATTATAAGTTGCATGGCAGTAAATGCTATCATGCTGATCATTTTGAGTTTGGCCAGTCTATATTATCATGTGCTAATGATTGAATTCTCCACCCATTTTTCTACTTGTATGACCTTAATTTGATGGCACCTGTTCCATCCTCATGAGTTTGCTACAATTATACTGGTGCCAACACAATCATAAACACAAATATAAACTTGGGCTTTGAAATCTTGTGCCAGAACTTGGCTTTAAAGTAAGCATTTAAAAAATCCATATGTGTTTATTAGACTTTGTTTAGATGACTGTTGAAATGAAAACAAAGTGTTTAAAATCCTCTTAGAGAACTTAAATATAATCCCTCAGCAATATGTATACAGATCTTCCTTTGAGAAAAACTGATTGTGTTCAGCCTCTCATGTTACAAATGGGGAACCTGAATTCTGAGGTCTCTAGTGAGAGAACAGGGACTGGAATCTGTGGATCCTATCTGTTTTAATAATAATTGTAAAGTATAATAGATAATATTATATTAATAAAATAAAAGCAAACACTTAGAATGAGCTTCCATGTGTGAGGCACTAACTGATTAGGCATTATTAACTAGATTTATTCCTTTTAAGGCCCCGCGATGTACTGTTATTTCCACATGTTGTAGCTGGGGAACGTGCTACTCAGAGAGGTTAAGTAACTTGTCTGAGGTCCACACCACTAACAAGGAGCACAGGTAGGGTTCAAATCCAGATAATCTGACTTTGGAGCTGGCACTCTAACTCAATGTGCCTAATCGCTTTTCAGTGGTGTCATTATTTTGCCTATTCTCCATCTGAGAATATTGAAGTTTCTGACTCCTTCCTTGCCTTTCTCCCTGCCTCCCGTGGTTATCCCCAGGTCTTGGTGTTCCAGTCCTCTATGTCCGTCCTTACTCTTATTCCTTTGCTACAGTGTGATCCAGGGCTCCTGCCCCTTCTTATCCTGGTAGAGGGGGCCCACTTGCTGGGAAATTGTCTCCGCCATGGTTTATCCATGTTGTGTGTCCATTAGTGAGTAGTGGGAAGAATCATATCATGTTGGCAATGAAAGGGGGGCTATGGCTCTGGGGTAGTCTAGTCTGAACCTCTTATTTTACGGATGAGAAAGCTGAGGTACAAAGCAGGGAAGGGATTTCTTGAGGTCACCCAGCCAGCAACTGAGCTGCAACCAGAAGCTGAGATCCCCAGGACTAGGGCCGAGCCTCATTCTGTCCCATCACAGTGACTTTTCTTCCCTCCTCCAAACTATTTTTATTTTTTATTTTTTTGCAGCTGCTTAGCAGCTTGAAGTTAGAAGAAAGGGCAGGGAAAAGGTTTTCCGTGCTTAGCCAGGGAAGGAATCCTGCAACAGGATGTGGGGTTGGGTCATTCAAATTGGGCCAGACTCCACTGGTCTTGTTGCTTCTTGCTTGGTATTGCAGATGGGTTTAAAAGTGTTAGGATTAGAGAGATAGGCAGGTTTAGCCAAAGGCAGTTTGTAGCCTTGTGGCAGAGTTCTTTTTAAAGAAGGAAGTGGGATGCAACACCCTGACACAAAGGGGCTTAAGTTGTTATACCACTGCCTGCTAACCTGTTTTCCTTAACTCTCTTCCTGATTTCTAAAGGAAGTATATTTTGCTGAATCAGAAAGAAAAGTGATTTATTTCAGGTTGCTGATGCTTAGATTGTTAGAGTTGGAAAGATCTGGCTTGCATCTTGTACAGCTGACAGAACTGGGGCTCAGGGGGGCACAGGTGCCCAGAGTTGGTCAGTCAGGAAAGTAGCACCAGAACCAGTCTCCTGGTGGCCCTACAGTTGCAGACCCTTTTTTGCTTTGCTCTCTGTGTATACTAAAGCTTCTATGTCTCTGAATCTCAAGTTCTGACTGGTAGCTACTTTCCAATCCACCTGGCTTAGATTTCTAGATTATATTGTTTAGACGTCAGAACCTCTTAAGGGTTTTGGGGCCACTTGTTAGCTCACATAGTGAGAACCAGCCCTGCCCATTAGGTAGGGGAAGAAGTTAGCAGTCCATGATAGCTGTTGCCTGCAGCGTATGGATGTTCATTGCACAGTTCCTGTCTCCTGAGATCCTGGAGTGTATACGCTTGGCCTCAGAGCCCAGCACAGAGCCTGGCCCTTGGGACATGCTTAGTAAGTATTTACTGAATGAGTGGGAAATGTCTTAAGGCCCATTAGTTTGCAGGTCTTGAGGAGGCTCCCTTGCACTAGGAAGAATAGAAAGCATACATAAAGCCTGTGTGCTGCCGCCAGGAAGACTAGAAACGCTATGTTCAGCCTGGAGCTGAATGGTATACCCCAGAGCAACCCTGTTGAAAGGCAGTGCTTGCCTTTTCATTCTGTGTCCTGGTTTGCTGGTAACTCCTGGGTCCCCTGCCTCTCCTGTACCCCCATTGTGCAGACTGAGGGGGGACCATCAGCCAGGGTTAGTTTTCCGCTGTTTCTGTTAGGCAAAGAATAAATTGAATTGAGTTGTGAAAGTTGGGTGCAAAGCTCAGTTTGGGTCCAAAGTAACAGTTAACTTGTGTGGGTGGCAGGTATTCAGTACAAACAGGGCTGGGGACAGGAAGGGGAAGAGAACTTCAGAGCTTTCACGATCCTCATCTGGTTTTAGGCTGATCCAGAGGCCAAGGTCCCCATGGAACAAACTGGACAAAGTGAGGGTGGCCACATGGCCTCTTTTCTTTTGCCTTTATTATTAATTTTCTCAAATAGATCTGACTAGTCATGTGGCTGGGAAAATAGTTAATTGTGATTTTTTTTTTTTTAAACTGAGTCTCACTCTATTGCCCAGGCTGGAGTGCAGTGGTATGATCTCAGCTCGCCGCAACCTCTGCCTCCCGGGATCAAGCAATTGTCATGCCTCAGCCTCCCGGGTAGCTGGGATTATGGGCACACAGCACCACGCCTGGCTAATTTTTGTATTTTTAGTAGAGACATGGTTTTAGCATGTTGGCCAGGCTGGTCTTGAACTCCTGACCTCAAGTGATCCACCCACCTCAGCCTTCCAATCTGCTGGGATTACAGGCATGAGCCACTGCACCCAGCCAGAGTACCACTATTTGGGCATTCTTTAATGAAAAAGAATGAACTATCCAAAAATTAAAACTCCTCATTTATGAGCTTTTAGAGAATTTTACAGAGTAGATGGAAACTCTCTGCATCCTTTCCCCACTTCTAGTTTCACCTGACACATTTCTTCCCTGTCCTTACTCCTGGGCCGGCAGCAGTGGTCATGATTCCAATCCCAGCTTGGCCACCATCTGCCTCAGTGGCCTAGGAAAACTCCTTTCTCCAGAGCTTTAGTTTTCTCTTCTACGGAATGAAGAAAGTTAAAACAAATAGACATTTATTGTTTCATTTGGATAAATATCTATTAAGCATCTATTACTTGTGGTATGGTTAGCTGGGTATATAGTGGTGAAGCAGCTGGGCATGAGTACTGCTTTCGTAGAGCTTACAGTTCAGTGAGGCCAGCAGATGTGAAACATATCATCACACAAATAAAAATATAACTATCAACTGTGATGAGGATTATGAAGGAAAAAATCCGGCAAACTATGGTACTGGTGTTAGATACTAGCAGGTGTGGGTAGGGATTTCATTTAGATTGACAGGTTGTCACATTAAAGCTGAGAGCCCTGAAGTTCAAGCAATGGTTAGCCAGGCAAAGATCAGAGGCTTAGAGATAGGGAAATCCATTCCAGGCAGAGAGACTGGGGGTGCCTGTCCCCTAGGTCAGGGAACAGAAGAAAGCCAGTGGCACTGGTGGAGTGAATAAGACTGGCGGGGGATGAGTTGGTAGTAGACATGACCAGATCATTTAGGGCCAATTCTCCTGGGGAAGGAGAATTTAATTTAATATTTATTTATTTATTTATTTATTTATTTATTTATTTATTTATTTATTTTTCAAGACGGAGTCTAGTTCTGTCGCCCAGGCTGGAGTGCAGTGGAGCAATCTCGGCTCACTGCAACTTTTGCCTCCTGGTTTCAAGCGATTCTCCTGCCTCAGCCTCCTAGTAGCTGGGATTACAGACGCCCACCACCATGCCCAGCTAATTTTTGTATTTTTATAGAGATGCGGTTTCACCATATTGGCCAGGCTGGTCTGAAACTCCTGACCTTGTGATCCTCCTACCTCGGCTTCCCAAAGTGCTGGGATTACAGGCGTGACCCACAGTGCCCCCTGAGAATTTAATTTTATTTTATGTGCAAGAGGATTCCCTGAGGTAGTCAGGCCACATTGTCTGGTGACTCTTGGGATAGAGGGAACTTGAATGACAAAGGCCCAAGAAAGCAATTGTAATCATTACATATACATGGACCATTTTATGCTGTTTTCTTCTTTCATTTAACATTATTTAGTGTGCGTGTTCACATATTTCTAAATCATCTTCTGATTTAGAATAATGATTTCTGATGTGTAGGCTGTGTTTTATAGTTTTGAAAGTAATACTTTGATATCCATTACTTTCTTGATTCTCACAGCAATTCTGAGGTGTATGCGTTGCAATTTCTGTTTCACAGATGAAGAGAGTATTGTTAATAAGTTAATGGCCGGGCATGGTGGCTCACACCTATAATTCCAGCACTTTGGGAGACCAAGGTGGGCGGATCACTTGAGGCCAGGAATTTGAGACCAGCCTGGTCAATGTGGTGACACCCATCTCTACTAAAAATACAAAAATTAGCCAGGCGTGGTAGCACTTGCCTGTAATCCCAGCTATTTGGGAGGGTGAGGCAGGAGAATTTGCTTGAACCTGGCAGGTGGAAGTTGCAGTGAGCCAAGATTGCACCACTGTACTCCTGCCTGGGTGACAGAGCGAGACTCTGTCTCAAAAAATAAAAAGTTGCTAAGAGGAGGGCTGGGATCTTTTGGCTCCAAATCTACTGTGGGATGATGCCTTTGACATTCCTGATAGCTGTGCAGTAATCCATTAACACAGTTTTTATAAGTTCAAACCCTGTTGCCAACATTTAGATTGTTCCATGTGTGCTGTTACAAATAAATTACTATAAAGATTCTATACATTTAATCTTTTATTATTTTTGTATTATTTCTGTAGGCCAAAATCTGAGGAACAGGATTACTAGGTTGAAGGGAAATGGCCCTTGAAGTGTCTGATCAGATGTCTTTCCAGAGGATCCAACCAATTTAAATAGCCACCATCAATGCATGAGACTTTGTAGTTCAGGGAAGGCAGGCCTGGTTTTAAAAATCATTTCCCCTCTCTAGCATTTTTCTGATGTGATCCTTAAGATTTCACTTTAGTTTTCCCAGGTCTCATTGGCATGTATGCTGTTAGGGATGGGTCTAAAATTAATTTTTCTTCACATTCATATCATGTCATCCCAGTGATTATTTAATAAATAATCACTTGATTAAATAGTGATTCCTTTTCTAGTTATTTTTGGGACATTTATTAAAACCTGGATATGGTGGCTCATGCCTGTATTCCCAGCACTTTGGGAGGCTGAGGTGGGGGGATTGCTTGAGACTAGGAGTTCAACACCAGCCTGGGCAGCATAGCAAGACTCCATCTCTATAAAAATAAGGAAATTAGTCAGGCATGGTGGTACTTGCCTGGAGTCCCAGCTACTTGGAAGGCTGAGGTAGGAGAATTGCTTGAGTCCAGGTGGTCAAGGCTGCAGTGAGCTATGACCATACTACTGTACTCCAGCCTGGGCAACAGAGTGAAACTCTGTCTGAAAAAAAAAAAAAAAAAAAAAAAAAAAAAAAAAAAAAGATGTGTAGGGAGCAATTTTGGAGTTATTCATTTGGTCATTTGATATGTAGTTTTAGTTTTGGTGCTGATAGAGCCCAGAATGTACCCTGAATTTGATGAACATTCTGATATATGGGGGAGCTCATTGTCCCCCACTTACCTTTTTGCCTCTCAGAATATCTTTTGATATTTTTATCTGTTTTTTCCCCATTGAATGTTATTACCTTATCAAGCTCAAAAAAGTACCCTATCGCTATTTTAAGTTCAGTTGTGTTAAATCTATAAATTAGCTTGGGAAATTTGGATATTAAATGAACTCATGAAGAAGCAGAGTTTAGCTCTCCTTAATTCTCATCTTCCTTTATTTATCCTACTACAGTTCTGTGGTTTTCTTTTATGTAAGAAGCACATGTTTGGCTAAGTTAATGCCTAGGTTTTTTTGTTTATGTGTCCATTCTCACTGTGGATAGTATTCTCTTTTCCCCACATTATATTAATTTAACTGGTTTTCAGAGACTAATAGCAATGCTATTATTTAGGAGAATTTACCTTGGTTCTGATTAACTTACCCATACTTGCAAATCATTTGCAGCTTTTTAGTTAACTTTGTGAGTTCTCTTAGATTTACGACCATGCCAGAAACAGAAAGGATATTTTCATCTCTTCCTTTCTGATGTTTATTCTTCTTGTTTCCTTTTTTTATCCCCCATTATATTCTCAAGAATCTCTCAATACTAAGAAATAGCGACTTCATTTTTCAGCGCGGAGTGCATTATTTTGGCTACCATGATTCAGAAGCCTCTTGCCTAAGGCCCAATTTTATTCTGCTAGTTTTCTCTGTTCTTTGTACATGGCCCTTGCGCTGCCCTAACCTTGAATTAACGTGGCTAAATCTCAAGAATTTAAGAGCACCGTGACTGTGTCCTCAGGCTAGGGAGGGAAATGGGTTCACAGAGTGACTGGATTGTGGTCTATGAACTTCGGCAGCCAGCAGCAAAAGTCAGGCATGAATAATCAAGTGGACAGTGAACATCTGTAGTGTGGGAGATGTTGGCATAACTATGAATGATGATTCAAGAGTGGTTTGATGCATATTGAATAACATGATGATAAGTACTAGACTCTGTGCTAAGCCTTCTATGTGAAATACATTTAATTCTCATAATAACTCTAGAGCAGTGGTTCTCGACCGGGGCCGGTTATCCCCCTACCCCACCCCACCCTCACCCTTCCACCAGGGACATAACATCTGGAGATATTTTTGGTTGTCACAATCCTGGGAATGTATGTGCTGATATTTAGAGGTTGAGGTCAGGGATGCTGCTGAACTTCGTAGAATTCATAGGAGAGTCTCTCACAACACCTATCTGGCCCCAAATGTCAGTAGGGTCACTATCAAGAAAATCTGCTCTAGCAGTGCCTGCTCATATTATCCCCATGTTGAAATAGCAAGATGGGAAGTGCAAAGTGGTGCTTCGGTACTCTTGGAGCAGCTTTGACTTTGGTGAGAAACGCCTTTTAAAAACAATGTTTCTTCCCATCTTCCCACCCCATGGGGAGGTGTGGGGTTGGGTGGGTAGGCACCAAAGCAAGATTTAGAAGAGTTTTCTGTAGGAATTTATAATGGTAAAGGATCAACTTCATTTCCAAGCTATTTATGAGGGTTTATGTTTAGGAAAAGTGCTAAGCTTAGAGAAGGAGGAGAAATCTGATTTTATTAATGAGTGTAGCCATAATGGCATATCCTGGCAGAAGTCAACTTTGGTTTCTAGAGGGAGGCTATTATGAAAAGAAATACCTGGAACATTCCCCTGGGTTTGGAAGGTGAGTTCTAGGTTCAATGATGGGAAGAATTTTAGAGGTCCAAGATAAAAGGGCAAAGATTAAATTTTGTCTCTCATGAGTTCTCTGGCTCAGGTGGTGTGAACTTTGCAGACAGTCTCTTTAATTCACTCATACATGCTAGTCTCCCAGCTCAGCAAGGGCTTTGAGAGAGCAGGTGTCTGTATGCTCTGGTAAGTGAAGGCAAAGTGCATAAGGAGGTTGGGGTCCATAATGGCGAAGAGAAGGAGCCCTTCAGTCAGAGTGGCTTTGAATCTTGGCTCTGCCATTTGCCAATCTTGGACCATTGGGCAGTGTATTAACTCTTTGAATCTCAGCTTCCTCTTCTGTAAAATGTGTATAACAAGAGTACTAATTGGATTGTTTGATGATTAAATGAGTTAATGTGTATAAAGCACTCACAACCCTGGTACATAGTAAGACCTTTCATTATTATTATCATCATCAATTTTTTTTAACCTCTTTTCCTGATCTGCTTACACTCACCAGCTTCAGCTGCTCCAAATGGCTTGTAAGATTTTTTGTTTGCCCTTTGCTGTCAGTTGCCATGGGGAAGATCCATTCATTTTTTTCAGTCAACCAACATATTTTGAGCATCTGCTGCCCTACAGGATCCTAGATATGGGGGCTGCAGAGATATCCAGGAACATAAGCCTTGATTAATTGGGTCAGATCAGTGCTCAGCAGGGCTGGCAAGTGCTAGGTTTCTTTTAAGTGGCATATCTTAAAAGGTATATGTCCTAAACATAGCTTTGTGATGGCAGCATGATGGGTACAAAAGCACACACTTAAGTGTCAGTAGATCTGGGTTCAAACATTGGTGCAGTTTCTTATGGCTCGTAACTTGTTCAAACCTCAGTTTCTTCACTTCTAAAACGGTAATGATACAACCTACCTCACAGGGTTATTATGAATTAAATACTGGAGATGAGATACACAAAACGTCTTGAGTACACAGTAGCTGCCCAATATTGGCTGTAAGTATTATAAATCTACAAGCTGTGAATTAATTTTACCTCTCTGGATCCTGTTGATATTTCTAGACCATTCCACCTAGTGGGGCCATTTCCTACCTGAGTCACCCGTGGTGTCAAATAGAATGTCATGTGGCCTCCTGAGTTGGGTAGAATTGGCTGCTCATCTCAACCCCGCTACTGACTATCTCTGTGATTTACCCTTCCTCCAGCCTTAGCCTTGCTACATATAAAATCAAGACAATAATGTTTCCTATCTCACAGGGTTGTCCTGAGGATTAAATTAAGTAATTAATATAAAATGTGCCTTGTACATATTGGGCCCTAAATAAACAGTAGCTACTATTTATCCTTAAAGTACAAATGGTAGTTTCAGAGCTTCAAGGCTGATGGCTATTTATCTTACTCATACTCTTTGTTTAGCTTCATTTTTTTCCCCTAATTTCATTAGTATTTTCTTTTCTTTTTTTTTTTTTTTTTTTTTTTTTTTTTTTGAGGTGAAGTCTCACTCTGTTGCCCAGGCTGGAGTGCAATGGAGCGATCTTGGCTCACCCCAACCTCTGTCTCCTGGGTTCAAACAGTTCTCCTGCCTCAGCCTCCCGAGTAGCTGGGATTACAGGCTCCCGCCACCATGCCCAGCTATTTTTTTGTATTTTCAGTAGAGATGGGGTTTCACCCTTTTGACCAGGCTGGTCTTGAACTCCTGACCTCATGATCAACCCACCTCAGCCTCCCAAAGTGCTGGGATTACAGGTGTGAGCCACCACGCCCGGCCTCATAAGTATTTTCTAAATTTATTTACAGTCATGCCATTTAAAAGGAAAGTTGTATTCCTGTCTTTGTTAATATTTATAAGTGATTTTATTCAGCTACAAGCTTGGAATGGCATATAATTTTGTATTCTGCTTTTTTCACTTAATATTACATGGCTAATGATTTCTGTGTTTCATAAACATTATTCTGATGATGGCATGATATATTGTTGAGTACATGTACCATAATTGAATCATTTCCCTATTGCTATGCAATTAAGTTGTTTCCAATATTTTGCAATTATAATGTTTCAATGAATGAATAACTTTATGCATATAGCTTTTTGATATCTTAAGTTCAGTTTCCTAGGATGAATTTCCAGGAATAGTAATTGGGCAAATGGGATAAACATGACTCTTGAATACGTATTGTTAACATTGCTTTCCCAAAGGGCTCAACTGATTTATATTTCCGTGTTCATTATCTTTTAAACCAGCTCATTTACTCACCAAACATTTTTAAAGCCATTATCATGTGGTAGGCTTAGTAAGAAGAAAGTGACCCTAAGGGAGAAGCTTATATATAAATAGGGTCCCTGGTGTACCAAGTGCTGATACAGACACAAAGTACCTGGGGAAATTGAGATGAGGGAGTCCTGGCTCAGCTGGGAGAAAAGTTCATTTTCATAGAGTCATGGTTTTGTTCTTTGGCAGAAAGAAAATTGCTTTCTTCCCCACCCCCACCCCCAGCTTTATTGAGGTATAATTGACAAATAAAAATTGTATATCTTTAAGATATGCAATGTGATATATATGTATATCTCAACTTAAAAAATAAGCTACAGAATAAAAAGGTGTTTGCTATTAAAAAAAAAGAAAAGGCTGAATGTCATTCCCAAGCTTGGAAATTTGAGTATGTTGCCTCTTTGGGATTATTTACAGAAATATTAGCAAGACCAGCCCCATCTTTGGTCTTGAGTACTCCACTGTCAGCATGCTTTCTTCCAGAGAGGGATCCATTTGCCTTTATTTTTCATTCTGTTGTGCCGTCTATGCAAACTATTCTTGATAGTTTTATGGTAACAGTGTTTTTTTGTTCCATGAGATAATTTATACATGCTCATTGTGGAAAATTTAGAAAAGACAGGAAAGTATTAAAAACATCACTTTTTTTTTTTTTTTTTTTTTTTTTTTTTTAAGAGACAGAGTCTTGCTCTGTCGCCCAGGCCGGAGTGCAGTGGCGTGATCTCAGCTCACAGCAACCTCCGCTTCCCAGGTTTAAGTGATTCTCCTGCCTCAGCCTCCCAAGTAGCTGGGAGTACAGGCATGCACCACCACGCCCGGCTAATTTTGTATTTTTAGTAGAGATGGGGTTTCACCATGTTGGCCAGGCTGGTCTCAAACTCCTGACCTCAGGTGATCCGCCTGCCTTGGCCTCGCAAAGTTCTGGGATTATAGGCAGGAGCCACTGCGCCAGCCACACCTACGTTCTTATCATCCTAGTACATCCACTGTCATTATCTTGCTGTATTTCCTTCTGCCCAGTCTCACTCTGATCATGCAGTGGCGTGATCATGCAGTGATCTCGGCTCACTGCAACCTAGGCCTTCTGGGTTCGAGTGATTCTCCTGCCTTAGCCTCCTGGGTTCAAGTGATTCTCTTGCCTTGGCCTCCCAAGTAGCTGGGATTACAGGCATACACCCCCATGCCCATCTAATTTTTGTATTTTTAGTAGACACAGCGTTTCACTAAAATTTTGTATTTTTAGTAGAGATGGGGTTTCACCATGTTGGCCAGGCTGGTCTCCAACTCCTGACCTCAGGTGATCCGCCTGCCTTGGCCTCACAAAGTGATTACAGGCATGAGCCACTGCATCCATCGCCAAAAAGATTTTTTAAAAGAGTTTAATGTAGAACCATATCAAAGGTCTTTGGAAATAAAAAACAGTTTTTTAAAAATATCAGAAATAAAACAACAAATAAATAAATAAATAAAAACACCCAAAACAATCTGAAGCACGAGCACCTAGCAGAAAGGTTCAATTATGATCTATTCATAGAGTGGAATATCAAGTAGACATTACAGGACATGTTTTAAGATTATATTTTATGTCATGGGAAATGCTCTCCCAGTATGATGTTAAATGAAAAAACAGAATACAAAAGTATATATGCTGCATAGTCTCAATATTGTAGAGAAAAAATATTATTTATGTATGCATGAAAAAAGACAAAAGATGTTAACAGAGATCCATTGTTACTTCAGTTTACTAGGGATTGTCTCTGGGAGGTAGGATTAAGGTGATTTATATTTACCTTTTTAAACTTTTCTGTATTTTTTTATTTTCAAATTTTCCATAAAAATATAAGGACTTGAAGATCAAGAAAAAATTTCTGCTTTGGCTCAGTGCAGTGGCTCACGCCTGTAATCCCAGCAGTTTGGGAGCCCTAGGGGAGAGGATCACTTGAACCCAAGAGTTTGACGTTCCAGTGAGCTATGATCTCCGGATCGTACCGCCTGGACGATGGAGCAAGACCCTGTCTCAAAAAAAAAAATCTTTGCTTTTTTTTTTTGTTTGTTTTTGAGACGGAGTCTCTCTCTGTTGCCCCAGCTGGAGTACAGTGGCACAATCTCAGCTCACCGCAACCTCTGCCTCCTGGGTTCAAGCGATTCTCTTGCCTCAGCCTCCCAAGTACCTGGGATTCCATGCACCCACCACTATGCCCAGCTACTTTTTTGTATTTTCAGTAGAGACAGGGTTTCACCATGTTGGCCAGGCTGGTCTCGAATTCCTGACCTCAGCTGATCCACCGGCCTTGGCCTCCCAAAGTGCTGGGATTACAGGCATGAGCCACTGTGCCCAGCCCAATCTTTTGCTTTTTTTAAAAAAAGAAGACAAAAAGGGATTTTATACCAGTATTATCTTGGCTGTGTGACTCTGAAGCCACAGTTGTAAGTTATAATTACTCTGAAACACAAGGCCCTGTGACTCTTTTGGGCTCTTTGGTGTTTATCTTGATTACAACGTTGGAATATAGAAATGAAAGGAATGGGAGAGGTGATAGACTTCAGGCAGTGTAACTAGTTGTCTGAACACTACTGGCTCAATTATATTGTGTCTAGTGATTTCCATCTTGTCCGTCTGCTAATTTATCGCCTGGTAACTCACTGAGGCAGGGTTTTCCTTTGGAGAAACCTCATTGTTTTAACCAGTGTATCATGCTTGTTTAGAAGTTCAATGATCTTTTTAACTCATCGGAGAAGATGATGACCAGACCTGGACAGATGGGGAAGGACTTTGCACTCTCTCTTTACAGTCCTGAGTGCACACAGGTCAATATGGAACTATGTGTGAATTTTCATTGTCTTTGAGAGCCCTCTTCTCTGCCCCATAGGGAGCAGCTTTGTGTGCAATTAGAGGAGCAAGGGTTGTGTGTATTTAGCACAGCAGGTTGGCCTGGTCCTCTCCTCTCAACATAGTCACCACATACCTGGCACTATGCTAAGGCTGGGAATGCAGACAGATGGGTGCCTGCTTTCAGAGTGCTCAATGTGCTGAGGAAGCCAGCAACAGAAACAGATGATTTCAGGAGCTCCAGGAAAATGCTACAGGAGGAGTGTGCCTGGGTTACTGGAGTAGCACAGGAGGAGGGCTTCTAGCTCAGGCTGAGATTTTAGTAAAGGAAATTATGCCACGATGAATCCTGAAGAATGAATAGAAGTGAACCAGATAAAGCACGATAGGAAGCATCTTCCCTTACCTAAGGGAAGACACAGAGGTATATGGAATGGTATGTTAAAAGGTTGGGACTCCAAACAGTTCTGTTAAAGCTTAGAGAGTGGTGGGAGAGACTGGAGAAGTTGATTAATTAGTAAATGAAGTTGTCTGTGGATTTCCCAGATCCCAGTGGCATTGGATATCCATATTATTTTTAAATTTACAGTGTTCTATCTTATTTCCCACTCAGTGTCAGCTGCTGCTGGAAGTGGCCTGGCCTCTATTTATCTTCCTGATCCTGATCTCTGTTCGGCTGAGCTACCCACCCTATGAACAACATGAATGTAAGTAACTGTGGATGTTGCCTGAGACTCACCAATGGCAGGGAAAATCCAGGCAATTAACGTGGGCTAAATTGGACTTTTCCAAAGATGCTGTCTTTGGGAAACATCACACATGCTTTGGATCAGAAAACCTAGGCTTCTAATTTGTTGATAAGGCATGAACTCAGGAGACTGTTTTCAGTCCTAGTGAATGGTGATAATTGTAATTATAACAGTAGACAACATCTCTTTTACACATTTTAAATCATGAAAATAGAATAACCTTACTGATAATTTTAGAAAGTGGTGATTAAAAGCACATTTAAGATAATGCCTTAACACCTAGTCTTTTCCATATGCATGATGTCTTAATCACACATTGCAAATCATGGAACACAGAATTTTAAGCAGCATTTGTGTAGAACTTCTCAGTTTTACTAATATTATTTTATTTTATTCTCATAACAACCTTGAATAGAACTCAGATCATCTGTCAATCATGTATTTTGATAACAGCCTTTACAGTGAGCATAGAAAATACAGTAGTGGCTAACAACACAGGCTCCAGATGTCAGGTTATCTGGGTATGAATTCTGGTGTCAGCATTCACTAAGCATATGACCTTGGACAAGTGATTTAAGTTTCTTTTAAACAGAGAATAGTAATACCTACCTCATATTATTATTGTCAGTGTATCATCTTACAATCACAGTCTTTCTCTTAGGGCTGGGCTCAGTGGGTGGATTGACACTGCAGAAATGGCCAGATCTAAAGGATCAACATTTACGTAGCTGGGAAATGTAGCTGGGACTTCAGTTTCACTGCCCTAGTGATTTTTCCTACCACTAAGCAGCTCAGTCCATACCCCTACGAGACCCACAAGCTTATGAGATACTGTTCTTCCAGGAAAGCAGTGGGGCCAGGGCCACCTTTTAATTGTGTTTCTTGGCCTGGTCCCATCTTTCTCACAATATATAGCAACAGTTATTTACTTGCTGATTTTCTAATGCACATCACACATAGTCATATTAAACACACACACACACACACACACACACACACACCCCTCAAGAAACATTTTCTGAGACGTGATTTCCTGATTTCATCAAAAAAGAAAAGAGCGGGCCAGGCACAGTGGGAAGTCAAGGTGGGTGGATCACTTGAGGTCAGGAGTTTGAAACCAGCCTGGCCAACACGGTGGAACCTCGTCTCTACTAAAAATACAAAAATTAGCCAGGCGTGGTGGCGCACACCTGTAATCCCAGCTACTGGGGAGGCTGAGGCAGGAGAATTGCTTCAACCTGCGAGGCTGAGGTTGCAGTGAGCCGAGATTGCGCCATTGCACTCCAGCCTGGGCAACAGAGTGAGACTCTGTCTCAAAAAAAAAAAAAAAAAAAAAAGCATAAACTGAAATTTATATGCAATTTATATGCCTGTGAGATAATTCTGTTTTCTCTTTTGGAACCCCAAAGAGATTTTTTTGATTGATGAGCAAATACATTTTAGATTTTATTTAAGCATTATGCCAAGCACCACTGAAGTATAAGTTTCAAGGGCAAACTCAGTTTTTTCATCTACTAGACGAATGATTTTCTGGAATGATTACAAGCAGGCAAGATGGTGTAGTGGAAATAGCAAATGTCTTCGGCATCAGACAAGTTGGGGTTTGTTTGTATCCTGCCTCTGCCCTTCACCGAGGTTGTGATCTTGGGCAGATTGTTGAGTTTTAACCTAGATTCCTCTGACTCCAGATCATAAATTTTCAGAAAAGTTCTGAAATTCTTGTATATACTGATGGTAAATGAGACTTTTCCTTACATCTATGCACTTCTTTGTTTGTTTGTTTTGAGATGGTCTTGCTCTGTTGCCCAGACTGGAGTGCAGTAGTGCAATCTCCGCTCACT